>NC_000010.11:82567337-82718852 GCF_000001405.40 Homo sapiens | reverse complement strand
AGGCTACAACATCATTAGTCAATTTTATAATTAGTACTTTAGAAAAAAATCATTTGTCAGAAGTAAATAAGAAGTGACTGGGGCTCTTGGAATTAATCTACATCATTTTATGTAGAAACGGCAGAAGTCATGTTTATCAAGTGCCTACAATTTTCCAGATTCTGTGCTAGACACTTGACATAATTACCTACATATTCCACCCTGTGTTGTTAAGTCAGCATTGTTTTGTTATTTTAAATATGGAAAATGGAGATTTGGAATAATTTGAGCAAGTTGCAAAGCAAATAAGGTTTGCAGTTGTGACTTGTGTCTAGGCCTTTTTGACCATGAGTTTTCATTGTCAAAAATTGAAAAACTTTTAAATCACTTTTCTTTTGTCCACAGATGTCAATTTATATAGTAGAACTTTTAATGTCAATACTAACAGTTGCTTTAAACAAGAAGTAGACATTGAACCTCAAAGAATAGGTAATCAGAATCACAAATATGATCATCGTGTTCTTGGTATACGGAAACCACAACAGAAACCTCTTCAAGTATCTTTTAATAAAGACAATTGATTGCACAGGTGAAGAAAGAGTCAGAAGCTAAGCAAGGGATGATAAAGTAAAACAGGAGTTGACAACAGAATGAAACCATCTCACTCCTAGGCTGAAGGGAGAAAGGGAGATATTTGAGTTGAAGAAATTAGGGTAAAGCCAGTGGGTGTACCAGATAGGAGCTAGCAGACTAGTATATGTGGATCTCGTCCTCTTTATTTTTATTTTTTTAAATGTCTTCCTTTAACAGAGACATTGAAAATGAATTACTCAGAGGAATATGTTAGTGAATAGAATAACTGGAGTCAGTCTCCTTTTCGGGAAGAGGGTGTGGTGGTTATTATCCCACAGCTGATAGCTGTCTTGGGACACTGAGTTTGGGCTTGTTTTGTGAGGCTTTGACATACAGGTGAGTGGAAATGGAAGGACAGAGACATTGGCTCACTATTAAAAAAAAAAAAAGACTTTTCAATAGAACCATACAGAAACACAATGGTCTCTGCCACTGGGAGTGTTACAGTAGAAGCCCAAGAACCCCTTGGTTGAGAGATTCCTGTACACTCAGATTACTTAAAACCTGCTGTGCTTGGAGATTATGTGAAAGCTTTTCCGGCCACAGGTGGTGGCTCACGCCTGTAATCCCAGCACTTTGGGAGGTCGAGGCAGGCGGATCACGAGGTCAGGAGATCAAGACCCCGATCTACTACTAACGTGGTGAAACCCTGTCTCTACTAAAAATACAAAAAATTAACCAAGCGTGGTGGCGGGTGCCTGTAGTCCCAGCTACTTGGGAGGCTGAGGCAGGAGGATGGCGTGAACCTGGGAGGCAGAGCTTGCAGTGAGCCAAGATCAAGCCACTGCACTCTAGCCTGGGCGACACAGCAAGACTCCATCTCAAAAAAAAAAAAAAAAAAAAAAAAAAAGCTTTTCCAATGCTTCATTTTATATATTTTCTGCAAACCAATGAACCTGGATGGATGGACCCACTAGAGAAACAGATAATGCCCAAAACATTGCTTACATAGTATTCCAAAGTCATGATCACTTTTCACTATAAAAAATTATTTATATAATACAAGCTCAGGGCTCAGAATCAAGCCTCAGATAGACCAAAATTGTTTCTAGATGTAAAGCTTACTTAATTTCAATGCACCTACATCTTTAAGGTATTGTATTTTTTTCTTTATTTTGATTACTGCCACTCTATCATTCGGTGTCTTTGGGAATAAGTGGTACAGAATTTGGTTTGATGTTTAGCTCACATTAACCAATAAAAGAACTAGTAAATAACTAGTTCCAATGAAAGACTATACAATTCCATATTAATAAACTTATTTTCACTGATTAAATAGAAACCACTTTCCTCAGTAAAATGTATATTAAAATTATGTTTTCATATTATGTAATTTTATCATTTGTATTCTAGTGATCAAAACATTTGAATTTCCTGTTACAGGATAATTTATTTTGGAGACTAGTCCACCAGTTGCTCTTTATGGATCATTTAAATTATGTATAAAGACCTTTGCAATCAGCAGCAATCAGTTTCCACCTTAATTTGCTTCCTATGATGTTATTAGACTTTATTGATACAGATTGTTGAGAGTCTCTAGGGCCTGTGATTTCTTCCTAACACCTTTCCTCAATAATTATAAGTGCCTCTCCTGAAATGAGTCAGGGCCTCATTTTGGTTTGGACAAAGAAACGTTAATTTATCAGGGGTCACTGTTTAGTTCTTATCAGCAGGGCACCGTACATCCTCTATATCTGCACCCTTTTTAACAGGACCTCGATGGGGCCACCTGCCATGTAGAAATGTGTGCACGCTGAGTCTCAGTGCTAATGCTTTGTGGAGAAGGCTACAAGTGATCTATATTCACTCTAAGGTTCCCACCTGCCTTAACAGATCTGCATTCAGAGATACATTTAGATATGTGAGTGGGTGGGGATTGGGTGTGGGGGCAAAACAACTAGGTTCACGGGGAAGTGTCTATATAGATGAGATATGTGTATGTTATACGTGTGTATACATATGTATATGCTTAACCCAACCCAATTAAAAAACTTACCTGAATATTAAAACTGAAAATATTCTCTACATACCTTTAGGTCTTCGTGTCGTTGTTTTCTATATAATTAATTATTCTGTCAATCACTCGGGTTTTTAAAATTATTTCTACAGAATCGCATTTATATCAAAATAATCTCAAGTTCATTTTCTGTGTGTATTATGGAATGAATGTTTGTCTTCTTCCAAAGTTTATATGTTGAAACTCTATTTTTCAGTGTGATGGTATTTGGAGGTGTGGCCTTTGGAAGGCAATTAGGTCACCAGGACAGGGCCCTCATAAATGTGATTTATCCACTTATAAGAAGAGGCTAGAGAGCTAGCCCCCTGTCTTTTTGCCATGTGAGGATACAAGGAGAAGTTGGTAGTCTGCAGCCTGGAGGAGGCCCCTCAACAGGTACAACCATGATGGTGACCTGAAATTCAACCTCCAGCCTCCAGAACTGTGAGAAAAAAATCTGTTGTTTATAAGACACTGGTCTATGATACTTTGAACTAACAAAGTATGTTCATATCTTAACCTTCCAGTGACACTGTATCACTTCAAGGCAAAGATTTGACACAAATTCGTTTAAAATAATAACTAATATTTACAGAATATTTGCAATCCTGATAGCACTGATACACATTTTATATATATTACCTTATGTCTCATCACTATAACATTTTCATTTTGGTTCCTATTTATTAAAGAAACTGATGTTCAAAGAATGTAAATATGTATTTGAAAATCATAGAAACCACAAAATAAAATGTACCGTTCTAGAATAAAGTGCAATTGCTGTCACTGTAGGACTCCAGCAGAGGAGGGATGACAACTTGTCAGAGACACCACTGAAAGTAGTTGAGATTCACATCCAAGACTTTGTCACCCAGGTTGGAGTGCAGTGGCGAGATCTCAGCTCACTGCAACCTCTGCCTCCGGGTTCAAGGGACTCACGTGCCTCAGCCTCCAAAGCGGTTGGGACTACAGGCGTGTGCCATCACAGCTGGCTAATTGTTTTGTATTTTTTGGTAGCGATGGGGTTTTGCCATGTTGCTCAGGCTGGTCTCGAACTCCTGGCCTCAAGCGATCCACCTACTGCAGTCTCCCAAATTGCTGGGATTACAGGTATGAGCCACCACGCCCAGCCACACCCAAGACTTTAAACTCTTTTTTTCTTGAGATTGACTAAAAAAAATTTAGTCTATTTAAAAACTAAATAGTGCTGATGATGGTGGGTGGAAATAGGAAATGAACATCTCTAGCCTATTTATTATTTAGAAAATAAAGATTAAGCATTTGTAGTAAAAGGAGTGATTTTTATTTTTCATTTTTGTGTTTAAGAATACACAGAAATAATATAAAACATAGTTAATAGATTTTTCACTACCTTCTTTTTAATAATCAATAGATGTGGACTTTTCTCTGTGTCATGGCGGTGTGCCACTGATGAGGTGGGCAAGGAAAAATTCATTCAAACATAGTTAAAAGTTAGTCATTAAATGAGAACTATATACATTGCTAATTAAAAAAATATTTCCTCTGATATACCACTATGTTTTTCTTGTTAGACTATTAGCAACAGACATCAATCCTTATTTAGAATTTGCAATTTTCTTATCTTGTGTGAAAACTTCATTTTTAAATTAAGGTATCATCCATTTTATACCCAGGGAAAACCAAAGGTAATTGTAGTTAAACTGAAAAGCATAAAGTACAAGTTTATAGAAGATAAATATTTGATCATCAGAAGCAGAAAACATTGTTTCTGTTTTTTGAGGAATAATAAAAATAAATGCAAAGGAAAATGACACGGAAGCATGAGGTATGGGTAGTTCTGCAATATGCTTTTCTTTGTTGCTGAAACAGAGCTGCTTTCTGCAGCTGCTCACAGCAGGCATCTTACTGTGGAAAGGAAAGTTCAGTTTGTTGAGGGAGCATCCATCCACATTTTTTTTTAACATGGTGAGTATAGTTAATATATTGTATTCTTGATAAATCCTAAGAGAGTGGATATAAAGTGTTCTCAGCACCAACATGATAACTACATGAAGAAATACATATGTTAATTATGTAGATTTAGTCACAGCATATTGCATGTATATGTCAAAACATCAGATTGTACATAGTAATACATATCATTTTAACTGTCAATGAAAAAGTAAATGAAATTAACTGGACTGGATTGTTATCATAAGTTAAAGGTGATACATATTACTATGGAATGACTTTAATTCCTCAGGGAAACTGAGCCCTATGGTGTACATTCAGCATACCATGACAACCATGGCGGCTCCTTCAGGTCTGTCTCTGGGACAGCAGGGCATCCATCCACATCTTCAGGAAAAAATGATGAGAGTTGAAATGACTACTGTTTTGTGGCAGCAAGAATCAAGAGGTAGAATAATAAACAAATTGAATCCATGGCAAACTTCAGTGTGGTCATATAGGTTTCCATAATTGAGGGAGAGAGGTAGCATTGTGAAGAAACTTGGGTTTAACATTAGACGATATCAAAATACAATTTATGTTTTTCACAAGGAGGTCCACAGTGGTCCCTAGTCCTTAAATAAATCTTTCATAAAAAATACCAAGTCCCATGTATGCACTTGATAAATCCTCTGTATTTGTATTATTTGGAATATCCTCAGCACTTTCCACACCCAGTGCATTAGGAGAACAGTTTCCTTTCTTTACGCAGTGTCCTCATTTAAGGGAAACCCTCAGTTTCCTTGAAGGGGTTCAATCTTTTTTGAGTTGCTCAGGCCAAAAGCATCCATGACTCCTTTCTTTATTTCACATCCCTTATCCAATGGTAGGAGAGTCAAGTTCAAGGTCTACCTTTAACCATACTGAAATCTGATCACTTCTCCCCACCATGACAACAAATCTTGTCTGTATTACTGCAACAACCCCTTTCTTGGTCTCCATGTTTCTATCCTGGCCCTTTAATGCTTACTCTTAAAAGTCAGATGATCCTTTAAAAACATATCAAATTATCTTACTCTTGAGAGCAAATCCCCAAGTCATTTAAAATGGAAGACAGAGTGCTTACGATGATCCTTTAAGGTAGTCCTCCTGGCCTCCCATTAGCCCTCTTGCCTGTCTTTTATGATTTTTTTTTTTTTTTTTTTTTTTTTTTTGAGATGAAGTCTCATTCTGTCACCCAGGCTGGAATGCAGTGGCACGATCTTGGCTCACTGCAACCTCCACCTCCCCGATTCAAGTGATTCTCCTGCCTCAGCCTCCCGAGTAGCTAGGATTATAGGCATCTGCCACCATGCCTGGCTAATTTTTGTATTTTTAGTAGAAATGAAGTTTCATCATGCTGGCTGGGGTGGTCATAAACTCCTGACCTCAACTGATCCGTCTGTCTTGGCCTTCCAAAATGCTGGGATTACTCTTTTATAATTCTTTATCAACCACACTACTCCAGCCACTATGGCCCTCTTGAAGTTTCTCAGACACATCAGTAATATTCTCATGTTCCACGTGCCTAAGAAGCTCCTCCTCCAGGAATCTTCATGCCTAATGCTCTCATGTCCTCAAGACCTTGCTCAGGTGACAACTTAGGCTCCAGTGAGCCCTGCCCTGACCAGCATCTTTAACTTTGCCATCTGACTCCCATTGCGAGCATCCAGCCTCTCTGCCCACTTCACCACATTTCTTTTCTGATCCCCAGCAGCAGCGTCTCCTGAGAACTTGTTATGGAATACAAATTATCTGCACCCAGCTCAGATTTACTCCTTCGGAAGCGTTGGCCATGGAGAATCATAACCTTTTGCTAACCAAGCCCTCCACGTGTTTCTGATGCACCCGAAGGTTTGAGATTCACAGCCCTATGTAACTATTACATAATGTGAAAATATTTCAAGCTTTCCCTTTCACGTCGGAAACAAATCAAGGATACTGCTCCCAATACTTCAATTAGACAGTTAATTGGTGATTTTTAGCCAGCAGAATAATGAAAGATATGGTTTGTTATTTTTTAACCTTAGTATAATCTTTTAAAAAACTCTTTAATAGTGAACTTTATTAATCTTGCTTTATAGAATATATAAAATCCCTATTTTTCCTCTATTCCAATAACATATATTTAGAAGAAAATATTTTTTAAAAATCCCATTCAAAATGGCAACCAAAGTTACAACTACTGTGAAATGAAACTAACTAATGGTGCAAAGGATTCTTTTGGAGAGAATTATAAAATTTCATGAAGGAGCTCTAAAAGAAGATTTCTATAAATGGAGAAATATGGAGGCATATCATTTTCTTGAATAGAAAGAAAAGCATTGTAAAATGTCATTTATTTCAAATTTATTTACAAATTAAATGCAATTTCCATGTGTGTGTCTATGTGTCTGCAGGTGTGTGTGATCCAAAAACAAGTTAGAATACAAAAGTATGAGAGTGCTGTGAAAGTAAATAAAACTTTACAGACATACACAATGGGGATCCAAGAGGATTTTCCCTATAAGACATAAAGAATGGCAGTAAAGATGGTGTAAAATTGATCATATGATAAACAGACCAATAGTAGAGAACAGAGGAAATCAAATCGTCATATGTGGGAATTAGTATAATACTTAAGTAGCATTGGAAGAAGTCAGAGGGGAAAGGAAAACCCATACACAAAGGATCATAGGACCACCAATCATAAATATGGACCAAATAATTAAATTATGCACCATCTCACACACACACACACACACACACACACACACACAAACACACAGATAAATCCAGATATATTACATACTTAAATATGAAAAACACAACTTAAACATAGGAGGAATATATTTTTAAAAATTTAAGCTAGAGAATAATACATTGAATAACACACAAATCAGAAACATTCTTATTTAAGAATAAATATGGCCAGGCATAGTGGCTCATGCATGTACTCCCAGCACTTTAGGAGGCAAAGGTGAGAGGAAAACTTGAGGCCAGGAATTTGAGACCAGCCTGGGCAACATGGCAGGGCTCCATCTCTAAAAAAATAAAAATAAAAAATAAAATAGCCAGACATGGTTGCACACACTTGTAGTCCTAGCTACTCAGGAGGCTAAGGCAGGAAGATCACTTGAGCCCAGAAGTTTGAGGCTGCAGTGAGCTATGATAAGGTGACCACATTCTAGCCTGGGTGACAGAGTGAGACCCTGTCTCTAATTAATTAATCAATTAATCAATCTGCTGAGCAAAATAGCTCAGGACTGTAATCCCACCAACTTGGGAGACTGAGGCAAGAGGATCAATTGAGGCCAATAATTAGAGAGCAGCCTGTGAAACATAGCAACATAAGTAAATAATGTATTTGACTTCTCAATAAAAACACAAAACACTTCTAAACAAAAGTCACCGAAGTTCAAAAGAAAGCCCAAGGCAGTAAAAAGATCATTGCAAATCATATAAACAAAATGTTTTTACTTTTATGAATGTATAACTTGTAAAAACCAGTAAAAAAATCATAAGCAAAGGCCATTAACAGGTAAACAGCCAAGGAAGAAACACAAATGACCCATTTGTGTCATAAAATAAAAATAAAATAAAATAAAATAAAAATAAAAAATGAAAAAGATATGAGCTAATAATTGAATAAATGAAATTAAAATCAGATAGCATTCTACATCCACCATTTGCAGAAATAAATTCTTTTTTTTTTTTTTTTTTTTTTTTGAGATGGAGTCTTGCTCTTGTCGCCCAGGCTGGAGTGCAGTCGTGCGATCTCGGCTCACTGCAACCTCCTCCTCCTAGGTTCAAGCAATTCTCCTGCCTCAGCCTCCCAAGTAGCTGGGATTACAGGCATGCGCCACCACGCCTGGCTAATTTTTGTAATTTTGGTAGAGACTTGGTTTTACCATGTTGGGCAGGCTAGTCTCGAACTCCCGACCTGAGAGGATTCACCTGCCTTGGCCTCCCAAAGTGCTGTGATTACATGTGTGAGCCACTGAGCCCAGCCAGAAATCAATTCTTAATCTTGAGAAATACTGAGGAATAGTGATTAAACACTGCAACAATTCTGAAGAATAATATAAAACAATGATTAGTGTGCACATATCCTATGATCTGGCAGCTCCATTTCTTGCTATATGTCCAACAAAGGAACTTGCATACTTGTGCAGAAGTGCAAGATGTTAATGGCAGCATTCTTATTAATTGTAAAAATTGGAAGCAGCCAAAATGGCCATAAAATCAGTATGTGTAAATAAATATAGGTTGTTCAAAATATAATGGAATATAAGTCTGCAATAAAAGTGAATGGACTATTTACTTCTTGGCCAAGATGCACAATTCTTCAGCAATCTCTTGGGTCCAAATAATTATTTACAATGGTTAAAATATAAAGGAAAACTATAACAGCAGCTTCTGATTTGAAGACCAGAAAAGGAACAGAAAAACAAAGCAGTGAGTTATTTTGTTACCATGGATTTAAAAGCCCTGGACCCAGACAATGGGAACTTGGACTTTATTTAGGACCTGCAAGAAACAGAGGGCTGAAAGTGATTCAATGAAACAGGGAAATAAAGTAAGGCTTTCTGCTTGCAACTAGTGGGACATGGTATGTGGCTCATCCATCCCAAAGAAAACAAGCCAAGCTTAAACAGCCGCTGGTTCCAGCACTTTGGGAGGCCGAGGCGGGGGGATCATGAGGTCAAGAGATCCAGACCATCCTGGTCAACATGGTTAAACCCCGTCTCTACTAACATACAAAAATCAGCTGGGGATGGTGGCGCACACTTGTAGTCCCAGCTACTCAGGAGGCTGAGACAGGAGAATCGCTTGAACCCAGGAAGCCGAGGTTGCAGTGAGCCAAGATCGCGCCACAGCACTCCAGCCTGGTGACAGAGAAAGAGTCCATCTCAAAAACAAACAAACAAACAAACAAAAAACAAAAACAAAAAAAAACCAGCTGCTGGAACAAACAAAAAACAACAACAACAAGAAAGAAACGACACCTGGGATTATAGCTCTAGAGTCACACCATCCGATAGAACTGTCTGTCAAGATGCATGAGAGCTGCCCTTCCTGGTAGCCATTAGACACAATTGGCTAGTGTGAATAGAAAACTGCATTTTACATTTTATTTAATTCCGTTGACTAAATATTCAACTTACATATTCATCAATGGCTAGTGGCTGCCTGATTGGACAGAGCCGCTCTAAATAACCTAAAGGTATAGGGAGAAGAGAGGACATGGAGGGGGACTTCATGAGTTGAGGACAGACTTCTGCTGGTTCTGGGAAGGGATCTGCCCTCCCCAGAATCACTACCGTATAAAACCCAGTTATAAAGTGGCTGCTCAGGGGTTACGAGAGGCAATTGCCAACAGCAATACAAAGATATATGAGCACCAAGAAAAGTAAGCAGGGAGAGAGACAGAAGGAGAAAAATATAAAATATACTCTCATCAAATGAGACTGGAATCAAATGTTTCAAACACAGGAAGAAAATGTATCTTATAAAAGTCAATAAAACTCTAGTATTGACAAACATTTTGGAAGATGTTTAAAGTGCTCAATAAGATGAATTCAATATTAATTTAAAACAAAAACAACCAAAGCAACTTTCTTGTCTTATGAAAAAGAATCATAAACAAATCATAGAAATAAAAAGTATACATATAGTATTAAGTAATTGTAATATAAATTAAAAAGTGCATCAGATGGGATGATCATAACTGGATACAATTTAAAAACAAATTTGTAAATCGAAAGGTGGTACCGGGAGTGAAACATTGAATACACATGGACACAAAGAAGGGAGCCACAGACACCAGGGCCTACTTGAGGATGGCAAGTGAGAGGAGAGTGAGGATCACAAAACCACCTATTGGGTACTATGCTTATTACTTGGGTGACAAAGTAATCTGTACACCAAACTCCCACAACACATAATTTACTCATGTAACAAATCTGCACCTGTACCTCCTGCACCTAAAATACATGTTGGAAAGAAAAAAGAAAAGAGAAAAATGGTCCTGGGAAACTCACCTATAACCATAGTCAGAGGGACAAAGGGATATATCATACAAAACACTTAGGACAGAAGGAGAGGATATAGCATATGCTTCACAGTAATCCCACAAAAATAAACGGAAAAAATAGCAGATGAGCAATATTTGAAAAAAATAGCAGAGTATTCGTAAGATTAAAAACGGATATGAGTTCTTCAATCAAAAAACACACTAACAGTACCCAAACATGTAATTTTATCTTATGTATTTATTTATTTTTTAAATTTTGAGACAGAGTCTACTGTGTTGCCCAGGATGGAGTGCAGTGGCGTGATCCTGGCTCACTGTAACCTCTGCCTCCTAGGTTCAAGCAATTCTCTTGCCTCAGCCTCCTGAGTAGCTGGGATTACAGGCATGCGCCACCACACCTGGCTAATTTTTTTTTTTTTTTTTTTTTTTTTTAGTAGAGATGATGTTTCACCATGTTGGTCAGGCTTGTCTCAAACTCCTGACCACAGGTGATCCACACACCTCAGCCTCCCAAAGTGCTGGAATTACAGGCATGAGCCACCATGCCTGGCTCAAAACATGTAATTTTAAAATAAAATAAATCAGGCCTGGGAACAGTGGCTCACACCTGTAATCCCAGCACTTTGGGAGGTGGAGGCAGGAGGATCACCTGAGGCCAGGAGTTTGAGAGCAGCCTGGGCAACAGAGTAAGTCCCTGTCTCTACAAAAACAAAAACAAACAATTAACCAGGAGTGATGGCAGACATCAGTGGTACCAGCTTCTTGGGAGGTACCAGCTTCTTGCCTCCTGAGGCAGGAGGGTTGCTTGAGCTGGGAGGCTGAGGTTGAAGTCTGGCTCTGTTGCCCAGGTTGTTTGTGCCACTACACTCCAGCCTGGGAAAGAGAGCAAGACCCTGTCTCAAAAAAGAAAGAAAAAGAAAAATCTCAGCCCACAACTAGGTACTTTAAAATGAAATTGAAAAATATCAAGGGTAATGAGAAAAATCTCAAAACCAGCCAGTGGTGGCATTAGAAAAAAATCCATACACTGTGAAATGTTGAATTTAATATAATTGCTACCTCGAGAAGGAATGCAACAAAAGGGAAATTTTCAAAAAGCTCTTCGTTGTTTCTGTTGTTTTACTTTATAAAAAGACCCTCAAGTTAATATGCAAATAATTATATGATGAAATTGAGTACAAAAGTATTCATTTTGTTTTTCTTAATATAGTTTATTTTTTAATATATCAAATATATATACATATATATATATATATATATTTATTTTATTTTATTTTTTTTTTTTGAGATGGAGTCTTACTCTGTCACCCAGGCTGGAGTGCAGTGGTGCGATCTCAGCTCACTGCAACCTCCGCCTCCTGGGTTCATGCAGTTCTCCTGCTTCAGCCTCCCAAGTAGCTGGGATTAAAGATGTGCACCACCACGCCTGGCTAATTTTTGCATTTTTAGTAGAGACAGGGTTTCAACATGTTGGTCAGGCTGGTCTTGAACCCCTGACATCAAGTGATCCACCTGCCTCAGCCTCCCAAAGTGCTGGGATTAAAGGCGTGAGCCACCACGCCCAACCTCAAATTTATATTTCTTTTTGATTGGGTGTCTGGAATAAAATATTCAAAAATAATAAACTTGATATACATGTATCATTTCTAAATGGTTAGATTTATAAAGCATAATGTTGTTTAACAAATAAGTTTTTGTGGTGTATATCAGCTGAGTGTCAGCCCCACATGTGAAAAAAATATACAAGTACTTGTCCAGGATGGAGACTCACAAGATTTATATAAGGAAGAAAGAATTTGTTCAAGAGGCTTTAACGTTGCCTATGATTTTTGTTAATATAGTAAGATTTGAAGTAAATATTATTGACATTTGTAAATAATTACTCCATCTGGAGACTTAACCAAGGAGGGCATGGAAATAACGTATATAAAGATTTCAAATCCCAAAATGGTAACTAGGCAATCATCTTGGAAGCTTTTTCAAATTTCACACGTCTCCCTGGAGATTATAATATGTCATTTTGGGGAGGTATGCCTTCTGTTGCCCTAACCACCCACAGGCAGCATTTAGCATTGCCACTCTAATGAGCTACTATTGCTGAAAAGATTGTCACAAATCCCTAAGATATGCTTACTTGCAAAATGTTGAGTCCAAATGCTGTAGATTGATAAAAAAAAGAAAAGAAAGGGAGTGGGTGGTTGATCAGGGGAGGAAAGCTTAAAGGCCAGGTTGGAGCTGTCCCTACAGCTCCACATTCAAATGTGGAACTCCAGGCAGCACAAAATTCTAAATATAAACCTGGCCATCACATCATTATCAAGATAAGAGGATAAACATATTTTAATCAATAGTTTTTACCTTAAATGATAACTTAAGTGTTTTCATATATTGTATGAAAGTAGACATAGGCTCCATATAAATTCTAATTCTAAGAAACGTGAATGGGAAAGTGGCAGGCAAGCTTCAGACCCTGTCAGGCAAATGCCAAAATAAAAAACACTTTAACATGGGTGGATCACTTGGATAGATTTTCTCCCTCAGCAAAACTGCCTTTTCTTTGTTCCTCCTTCATGTAGATGGTAAAAGGATAAAGGTAATCTCCAAATTTGCTTTGTTCTACCTCAGATAACGAATCAACACTGTAAGCCCTCCTCAGGGTCATTGATTAATATCTTCTGAGACCAGAGTTATACAGGGTTTTAAGCCTCAGAGAAAACACTTGTGGACCCTGCAGCTTGGATTAGGGGAGGGAATGGAAATGTGGTAAATGTAGGTAACAGGCCAGCTGAACTCAATGCACCTGTTCACTTAACTACTAGAGGGTCCACATTTAAGCATGTATCTGAATGCCCTGGAGGACTTGTTAACAAACAGATTGCTGGGCTCTGCCCCCCACAGCCTCTGATCAAGACCCTTGATATTCAAAGAAATGTTTAAGGACCAGCAGTGTTAGCATTGTCTAACATGCAAAGCAGACACTTGGCCACCACCCCAGACCTTCTAATCAGACTGTATTTAAACACCTTTCCCATGTGATTTGTGTGTCGCTGACATTTGAGAAGCACCAGTCCAGAGGGCTTGTCTTGTATCTGTTGATCACAAAATTCAAATATTACAGAACCTGACTTTCCCTTTTCTATAGTTTTTTTCCATATGTAAATGAAGGCTTACTCTTGTTTCTCCAGCAAACTAATTCCATATGCAACACATTTTCAGGATTTTCTGTCTGATGATTGCTGCCCCCTAATTGTTTGTGAACACTATTATCAATTTATTTTTACTTTTTGCATGATTTCTATTATTCAGTGATTTGTGTGAGATAGGCACAAGATAGGTGTATGTGTCCAACCTGCCTTCTTGATGTAATATTCTGAGCATATTCTTTTACAAAGAAGATTTTAAACAACTATAAAATTGAATTATGAGTTGAATTAATTCTCAAACATGAAAATTTTAAAATATTTTGAATGACAAATTCTTTACAAATGGACAAGCTGCAAATAGCATTCAGAATAATTATGAGGTAATATTTGCAAAATTTCAGAAGATAAAGAGATGCCAATAGCCTGATAGTGGTCAAATATGCTTATTTGATATGAAAACATTTTTACTTGATATGAAACATTGGCAGTGAAAACAGAATTGCATAAATAATACCGGGAGTGTCATGACATAAAACAATGAAGATTTATTACAAATTTCTCTCATGGATTGGAATAATAAGACGAGCCAAACTAGTACAAGTTCCTCCTTTGGTAGTGTTATTAAATTGGTAAACTGGAAGAATTAGATAGAGTGTTTCTTGATTTTTAGCAGAGCATATGATATCCTTGTGGGCAAGATGAAGGAGTATGATATAGTCTGGTAGATTTATAGTTAGTGTAACTACCAACTGTCCCTCAAAAATGCTGAATAATATCAAGGTGGACAGAAGTCTTGAGTTGCACACTTAGATGTTGGCCTTGCACTGCCTTTCTGAACATTTAATCGGGAAATAGAATAAAGATCTGGATGGTGTGTGTTTGTGTGTGAGTGTGTGTGTGTTGTGGTTGGTGGAATGTATCATGAAACCTATCTGAAAGGAAGAGCTAGCAGCATGGACAATGCATTGCTCAAGGTTCTAACATGTTTACAGAAGCACAGAGACTTAAAGGAAGGAACAAATGATAGAAGTTGAAATTTTGTAGGTCTTTTTTTTTCTATACCACATTTAATTAGAAATAAGTCAATTATGCAAAGGTAAGATAAAGGATTCTTTGTGGGTAGAAGGTTTGTAAGCACAAAGTCTTGGCATTCGTTTAAGTGGCACATCATAGCAGTTAAAAAAAATTAAAAGGTAGCTTATCTGATACTCAGATAAATATGCTTCCCCGATGAATAACAGTATGGAATACAGTCATTATGATTTGATTAACCAGTTCTGGGTGCCTAAACAGAAATCTGATGTTCAGATCCTAACCAGGACCAAAAAGAAGGTCTCTTGTGGTCCTAATTCCCTTACAATGACTCAGTGTGATAAATTTGTGAAAAATCTGTCAGACAGCATCCCGGCTTAGACAGTTAGGCCAAATGCCTTAGCCCAGGAACTTATGAATTTCTTATACAATATATTGTAGCAAGTGTGTTGGTAGGAAATTAACAATAAAACCCTCTAAAAGAGCCCACTAAAGGAACGAATCTGACCCATAAAAGGGTGCCTGTTGAATGGTTCTTCCTTCATTATTGCTCAGAGCCCCTGACAGTACCCAAAACACATATTCACAAATATGTGTCATTAGTGCTGACATGTTATTCCTGCAGTGAGTAGCAAGATAGAATAAATCGTCTGTTCCCCCAACAGTGATTTGGGGTAGCTAGCTCCTTAAGTTCTTTTGGTATTATCCAAGTTAGGGTCATTGAGTGTAAGTTTGGAAATAAATAGATAAAACAAAATTAAGTAGTTATCTTAATTGCAAAATGTTTCATCTTTAATTTGCCAATATATATGGTGAAGGTCTAAGGAGGAATATAAAACACCATGTTTCTTTCAGTTTGTTAGCATAGAACCCCCTAAAAATATCTCATACAACTAATTTATTATAAAATGCATTTTAGAAAACTCTGAACTAGAAAATTTCTAGGTTCCCTTCTATGATACAGTTCTGTATATACAGCACTGTCTTACCACTCAGACTGCCAGTAAGAAAGAAAAAGAGGAAGAGAGTGAGCGAGAGAGAGAGAGAAAGACAAAAGAAGGAAGGAAGGGTTAAGAAAGGAAGGAGAAGAAAGGAAGGAGACCAAGAAAAAATAGATAAAATAACAACAAAAAAAATGGCAGAAACAGTGGAGTCTGAACATAGTATTATTATACATATACCATTTTTCTTAACTTTTTTCTCGGTTATCATAATTTAAGAATTTGACTACAGCACTTTCAAAGCATGTTTATCACATTTATGTACATCTGATACAAAGATATTGTCCCTTATTATTTACTCAGAAAATTCCCTCTTCCAAAACATCCCCAGCTCAGTACATCTGGATCACTCAAGGAATCATCAAAGGACTCGTGTGTCCCTTCAGTTTTCAAGTCGGAGATGAGAAAAAACAACAACAACACTTGTGCCAGTTGGAATTCACTGCTTCCTGATAGTTTCAACACCTGATTCTGTTCTGGACTGCGTTCCCTTCCAGTCGCACTGTATCTGCCTCACTCCAACTTCTCACCCCTAGCCTGACCTGCACCTTGTCAAGTTCTTGTTTCTCAGTTACATAGTAGTGTAAGTTTGTGTGTATGCATAATATGCACAATACTCCTAAAATAAATTACTTCATATGCATTTTAAGTATCACTGTTTTGGTGGGAAATACTAGTTTAAGGCTGTGGAAAATTCTTTGGTAATTATCGTTGTTCCAAATTTTAAATTGAGTTGCTCTGGAGTTCAAAATTCTAGAGGTAAAATTTATAAACAATTTGTTTCCAGATACTGCTTTCAAAAACTTCAGTCTTCTATATTTTCGGTCAATTTATTATCTCTAACCCATTTTCATGAAGCGAATGCAGCTGTTATAGTCAGTGTGTGACAAGAGAAACTATTGGAATCCACAAGGAAATCGCCAAGTATTTACTTTTACAAGATGAGATGCATCACAGCCTGGCAATCGTGTTGTGACCCACTCTTCAAAGCAGCACTGTTTTCTGTGCTGTGGGTTGTTTCTCTTCCTCCTGCTGCTTCACAGACAGCCAGCATCAGCCTCACAGGGTGATCCAAAGTGTGAGCCTGAACAGCACCCATGCTGGTGAAAAGATCAGAAGACTCAGGTTCAAATACTAACTCCATCATTAATTTTGTAAGAGATGGCAAGTTGCTGAGTCTCCAGGCTTCTAATATATCCCTATATGTTGGAAAATTACATGGTAAGAAGAATGAGGAAGTTTTGCATTTCTTAGACACCGAAAGCTAATGTAGATCTTGAGCTGTTTGCTGCCATAGCTCAAAGTTAATATCTGCAAATTGGGATGCACTGGTGGGGACTAAACATTCTGAGATAACATGTTTTAAAGCACTTAGAAAAGCATCAAGTGCTCAACAAATGTAAAGAAATAACATTAACGCTACTACTATTACTACCAAGAAATTGACTATCCAAAAAGATTGCTTTATGTTCCTTGTGTAGAGTATGCTTTTGAAATTTTCATCATCCATCAGAGTTTATTGAACTGTTCTAAGTACGTTGAATGGTGCTTACAGCTGGTGTTTCTTGCTTGATCATAGGGCTCTATCCGTACATTCCTGAACTGATATTGATGTTCTTGACCTCTTAATTCCTTGTGACTTACAAATATGTCACCAGACTCTTGGGATCTCAAAAGGACTCAAGAACAACCATGTAATTCTGATCAAGCGAGAGGCAGGAGTACTTGACTGACAGATTTATGCTGGGAAAAGTTTAAAGTAAAGGGAAAATAAAATGTTATTTTATAGTCATTAACCTCACTAGCTTGAGAAAGACGAGGTATGCATGCATGTATGTACACATTCAGCAAACATGTACAAGAAACCGACAAGGGAAGAAGTTTTGAAGTAACAAATGGTAGAAAATTGTGGTTTAATGACTCATACTAGCTTGCTTTCTAGTGGTTAATAAATGTTTATTATAATGATTAAAATATATACAATTGTTATAACTGATATTTGTTTTGTATTTAAGACTTTATAAAATATCTTCATCTATAATATATAATTTATTATAATATAGAGTTTCTCCTGCATTGTCCTCTTATATGTGAGTTTAATTAATTCCTTACCAAATCTCCCATTTTTAAATAGGAAAATTCAGGCTCAGAAGGCAATATGATTCAAAACCTCACCATTTTGAAAACATAATTTCTTCCTGTGACACGAGTTAAAGGTGACGTGTTCCCTTGTGTCCAAGATCACTGATTTTTCAATTAATTGATTTAATTGGCCAATTATTTATTTATTTCTTCTGCTGGACTCCTTGCATTCTTCCTAGATAGTTTAAAACTACGATTTATGCCACAGGATGTAGACACAAAGAACACAGAAGATCACTTTGAAAAAACAAAAGCATAAATGCTCTGCCTGCATATGGCTTCTAAAGAAACTTTTATGACAAAACAGATGGTTTTAAAAAAAAGAAATGATTCTCAAGCCCAGCTGACATCATACTAATTAGACAATCAGAAGGCACCTACCAAAAGTGATCTGATTGTAATACCAACATTTATAAAACATCATGTTTGCCTCCACTTCTCAACAGGCTCTGTCAAAACCTAGCTGCAATTCTTTTCTTCATTTTGAAATTCTTTATTCTTAAAATAAAAGCTGTGCCCTCTTTCCACCTCCAACTATTGGAGACATCCCTCCCATGGGGAAAGATGGAAATTCTTGGCTCATCAAAGTGATGCATTAATAATCTTGGCAATATTTCAGTTTGGTATAGGTGCTTTCCAAACTTCCACATCAAACTCTTTTAATATGTCCAAGTCTCCTCGAGTGACAAGACTTACATTATTTTCAAGCTGGTTTTCTCGGGCGGAAATTTTCAATGGATTTCTCAGTCTACCATGTAACCTAGATGAATCCATATTTAGTGTGCGATCTAACTTAAGACTTTGATCAAAATAATTTTCACTCACAATGTCTGTCAAGCGCTGAAAGTAAGTTCACATGGGCTGCATCCTGCTGGACCACCACACGTGAAATACCATATCCCTAATTGTACTTACCCTGTTGAATTTCTTCTTGAGGATGGTCAAAGTGTGATGGCTTATCTTGCTTCATCTTGAATACCTTTCTTTTTCCTGAATTATTATTTTGTATCTGAGTCAATGCATAGACCAAGTTATGCACTCATAGTGTATGTTAGAAATCATGCTGTGTGCTTTGAATGCACACACACACACACACACACACAGATCATCCATATATGCACAAATGTTTTGAAAATCAGAAAATGTTTATTTGTGCAGTATTGTGTTCTGGAGAAGAATAATTCATGGATATTGCCTTCTTACTGGGGCCATGGACCATAGGGGTGGGAGAGAAGGCAAATATAAAGCATTAAATGCAAAAGGCTAAAATAAGAGAGACAGTCTCTCTGCATCAAGGAGTGGAACAAGTGCACCAAGTAGGGCGCATCTGCTCAGAGCCATTAGAGATCGACATGATTTGCTATAATAAGTATTAGATAAAGGGCACATTTTCAAGTATAAAAAAAAAGAATTGGCCAATAGTTTAGAAGGGAGGAACGAGGTCTTAAGGCTAGCTTGACAATAAAACAAGGATGCAGCTACAATTTTGGACAAAAGTGGTGGGATGAGGATGATCTTTGCCTGTAGCTAAAGAACGTTAAAAATAATTTGCGCAAGAAGATGATCCTCAGGTGTTATAACTAGTAATTAATTTATTGATACTTCCTCCCTCCATCCCTTCTTCCTTCCTTCCTTCTTTCCTTCCCTCCCTCCCTGTCTCCCTCCCTCCCTGCCTCCCTTGCTTCCTTCCTTCCTTCCTTCCTTCCTTCCCTCTTTCCTTCTTTTATTTTCTTTCTTTTCTTCCACAATCATTAAGTGAGTTCTTAACAGGAACTTCCCTGGGCTAGACAATTACTTCAAGATTAACACAAATTGATCCTAATCCATTTCAGGATCTTGGGATGA
This sequence comes from Homo sapiens, assembly GCF_000001405.40. Lineage (NCBI taxonomy): Eukaryota > Metazoa > Chordata > Mammalia > Primates > Hominidae > Homo > Homo sapiens. Next base: position 82,699,115 of record NC_000010.11, on the reverse strand, counting down.
AGTTTTCCCTAATGCCCATGTGCTTCAGAGACCCATAATACATTCGTATTTCAGAAAACTTTGATTTGCCCTTGGAAAGCCCACTTCCTCTTAATAAGACATTACAAGGTTATATGGTCAACATTTCCATGATGAGTTAGCCATAGAAATATCAATGAGACCAACATTTGCTTTTTTAAACAATGTAAATATTGTGAAGTACAGGTGTGGTATAGTAGAAAAAATATAGATCTTCTCATCAAATAAGTTTGAGTGTTAAGCATATTGTGGAATTTGGAGAGTGGCACTGAGTACTATTAGAAGCAGTACTGACGCAAATACATTGCATACTTTCTATAACCCAGGTACTTTATGTGTGTTCTCCTTTGTTCCTCACAACCGCTCTGTGGGCTAGATATTTATATTATCAGCACTTTACAGATAAGAACACTGAGACTCCAAAAGGTTTGGTAAGTTGCTTAGGAAATAGAACAAGAGTGCAGTAGAGCTAAGACTTGAATCTGAGTCTGACTGAAGTTTAAACCCATTTTCCCAATGACTGCATAATGTCTCTGCAAAATAATTTATTTAATAGGGCTTACGTAGATCAATAAAAATGTTTTCTCTGGTATTTTTGTACTTTAAAAATACATTTTTGCAATTGTAAGTTATTTTATCATGGTATTATTTAATCTTTTGGATTATTTAAAGCATATGTTAATGAGTAGACTTTTTCCCCTGTTAAGATTCCAAGGTGGGGTACTCATATCGTCTTGTGTAATTTTCCTGCTTCTTTAAGCACACCCTCACACACTAACCAGTTTTACACTAGCATTAGGTAACTTTTTTCTAATTTTCTCATGATCAAGTCAGCAATTCACATCTGTTTGAACTGGCTTTATCCTGGCATTGTGCAAATGGTTCATGCAAGAACATTTCCAAAGAAAAGAAACAAAAAAATCAAACGTGTTATGAACTGAGATGCTTTTGGGTTCTCCTTATTTACATGTTTCACCATAGGTAGGAAGTGAGAAAAATCTAGGAGGTTATTAGATAATATTTTTAAAAAACAGCTACAGAAATACAGTTCTGTATAGCTGAAAAATGGGTTGCCTTGATAAATTTAGCTGTTTACAATGTCAGATGGACTTTTCTTGCCAACCCTCTCCCTTTCGTAAGACAGGGCAACTGTGCTTCACCTGCAACCCACTCAGAGCGGGACTGTCACAGCCTCAAAAATCACACATTGATCCAAAAAGGCAGATACTGACGGGTCCCAGAAACGCAGGCCAATTACAGAGTGACACATTCCTAATGACTTTCTGAAATGAGGTCTGGAGGCCCCTCAACTTCCCTGCCCCTACCCAGCTACCAGCAAGCGTCCTCCTTTCTCTGCTTCCTACCACTTCCCACATATTTATGCTGCTAACACAATTTAAGACTTACTAAAGTCACGTTAAAAAGGATATCATTCCAATTGCCCACGTGCTGTTGGAGTACCCACAAGTCCTTTAGTTTGTTGGTAATATAATATTTTATCCATCCAGACTCTGAATATTTTAGACAATCTACTGACATAAAATTGGACGTAGTGTTTGTTTGTATCTCTGAGCTCTGGTCATAGAAAATGAATATGTGTGATCCTCTCCTCTCTAAGAAGAAAAAGTTCATGAACGAATTTCTTGGGATCATCACAAGATGGCTAGCTGCCTGAGTCTTCTGGACAAAATCCAGAGATCACCTTGGGAATATGGATTTCTCTGTAATTTTTTTTTACAAAACTTTTCTTCAGTTTGACAGCCACTTCCATTCCTTCCAGTTACCTTAAGCAGGTTTAGGTTTACTTTTCCGGACTTCCCTAACACTTTTTCCTACTTCATCATCCAACAATTTCAATCATGTTAAAATTGTGTTTGTGTTGTCATTTTATGCCAATTGAATTCAACAACAAAAAGTGGTGTAAGTATGTTTGATTATTGGATCTTCCTTAAAACAGGAGCAATTTATAAGACCCCAAATATGAAACTTTTTGTTTTCCCACTTCATCTACATTTTCTAAGCATTATATATCAGCATCTGATAGTTGTACCATAATATTTGAAAGTCTCAGTTCAGAAGAGAGAGAAACAAGTGTAAACAAACTAGCAGAATAAGATGCTCTGACAGAAGTACCTAACGTATGCAGAAATGCAATGGAGGGACGTTTTTCATAGATTAAATCATAAACAGTGGCCTTTAAGTAATTCATTTAATTTGCAATATATCACCATTCAAACTGGACAAAGTATGTGCTATACATTTTACTTGAAAACGGTCAGATTCACTAAGACAAAGTCATATCTCTCTGCTTGCTCATTTTCTTTTTCCCAGGTAAAGTTGAACACACTCCTGTGAGCATTCTGTCAAAACTCTTGGCCTTTTGCTTGACTCTTGGACTTGGTTTTTCCATTTGACCAAGAGTTCCACAAAGGGGGCATGTGCTTGGCCTTCTCAGGACCAGCACCCTGCAACACTCTTGTTGCTAGGAGAGCCTCAGAAAATGCTGAGTAAACATCAGAAAAAGATTGGCTTATTTGCTGGTCTAAGTATGGCTAGCTCTAGACAATACGGAAATCAGCAAAAGAGGAAGTTATTTTTTTTTCCCTTAACCATCTTTCCCTGTGCTTGTCATCATTCCAGGTTTGTCCCTCACTCTTGTCCTATTTCCTAATTTACATAATTTCCTTTCAGCCTTGTTAATCCTGTAATTATAAACTACAAGGTCAGAATGCCCATTTTAAATATATACTATAAGTATATACACATACATCATGATTACAAATTTGTCAATGAATGGTATAATAGGAAAAGTTTCACTACCGTGATGGTCTCTAGGGAAAATATTTTGAGTTAAGCAGTTAAATTATGCGAAGTAAACCATGGCCTGGTTTTCCTTCTTGGGAGTCCTATCTCTGTTTAAAAATTAATAATAGTCTTGCTGGGACATTCTGGGAAGGTGTCTCAAAAGTCAGTGTGTGTTTTATAGCAAAACAAAAAGTGATTCTCCATTCTGCCTGAGAATGTGTGCACTTAGGAGAGGCAAAGAATGGATTGAAGAAATGTTGCATCCACACATAAGACAGGGACTGATGATATAATGCAAACAGACGACTGTCAAGGTGATTTAGTACATCCTTTTTCATCTTGGACCACAGATGGAGGTGCTGACTCAAAAAGACTCCAGAGGAAGCTTGCAGGTAAAGGTTTTAAGGGAGAGGCCATTCCCCCCAAATATCATATAATGCAGTACTTCAAAATGACATAAGTGAGGTTGTCATTCCCTAGATAAAATAAAATGGTGGACACGTGATCTGGGAGGAGTCAGAAAAAATTTACCTTAGAGAACTTGTCAATGGAAGAAGGAAAATAAAATATTTTCTTTAAGAAATTACATTTAATAAAATATCTTTATTTTCCTCGCTATAAATTTATATAACATAATAGGAGAAAATTTTGGAAATGAAGAATAGAGAGAAAACAGAAACACCTCTCCCCAGAAGTAATTACTGTCAAAACTTACAAAAATTTTCTTCTAGCCCTTTATCTAGTCATAGCCATAGGATTTTAAAAATATATTTTAGTCTATATCTAGATGCACACACATATAGCTGTATCCAGTTTTTCTCTCTTAACATATGAGTTTTCATACTCGTATATTAAACTGCGATCCTATTATATTTAACGATTCCGTGACTATTGTTCCTTTGTGTTTCAATTTTCTAGTCTTATATATCATGCTGAAATTTACATGTTAGTACATATTTTTCCTTTTTCTTCATTATTTTAATAAATTACAGTATCGGAAATCAAATTACTCAACAGTAAAGAATTAGATGGGACATTAAATGATTAGGAATTACTAGGTCAGATGGTAGAATTACGTTAAATATATATTTTAAATACATACACATAAATTCTGATTTTAAATTGATACAGGCTCGCTGCAGAAAATTTGGAAGTTATTCATATTCTTACTGCATGTCCAATGTACATATGAGTTTTAATGTAAATTGAAGTCATTTGTGTAATTTGTTTTCTAAATAATATACAATATTCTATTTTATAAAATTATTATTTGAGATTGTAATTGTAATTGTAAATGGCTGCCTTAAAATGGCTGCCTTAAAATGAGATTGTAATTGTAAATGGCTGCCTTAAAATCCTATTGATGTTGTCTTATGTTATCTATTTAAGTTCCTACTAGGAGCAATCATGTTCAATGAGGTTGTATGAACCTTCTTACAGACATATGTTCCTCATAGTTTTTTGTATAACTAATTTGAATAAATTTATAAAAATGAATTTATTCCAAGAACATGAGCATTTCTTTCTTTTTTTCTTTTAGAGACAGGGTTAAACTCTGTCACCCAGGCTAGAGTTGCAATGGCACAATTATGACTCAGTGCAGCCTCAACCTTCTGGGCTCAAAGGATCCTCCTGCCTCAGCCTCCAAGTAGCTAAGGCTACAGGCATTGCCACCACACCCAGATAATTTTTTAAATTTTTAGTAGAGACAGGGTTTCACTATACTCCCAGTCTGTTCTCAAACTCCTAGCCTCAAACAATCTGCTGGCCTTGACCTCCCAAAGAGCTGGGATTACAGGAGTGAGCCACTGCACCCAGCCAAGTTTGAGTATTCTTAAGAAATACACAAACACACACACAAACACGTGAAGATAAAACATAGCAACAAAAAATAACTGCCAAAAAATAATCTGCCCAAATTTTTAAAAGTTCCCCCAAACCTATATCATTTTGAGAGGTGAAGCCAGCTGGACTTCCTGGGCTGAGTGGGGACTTGAAGAACTTTTGTGTCTAGCTAAAGGCTTGTAAATGCACCCATCATCACTCTGTAAAAACGCACCAATCAGCGCTCTGTGTCTAGCTAAAGGATTCTAAATGCACCAATCAGCACTCTGTAAAAACGCACCAACCAGCGCTCTGTGTCTAGCTAAAGGCTTGTAAATGCATCCATCAGCACTCTGTAAAAACGCACCAATCAGCGCTCCGTGTCCAGCTAAAGGATTCTAAATGCACCAATCAGCACTCTGTAAAAATGCACCAATCAGCACTCTGTAAAATGGACTAATCAGCACTCTGTAAAATGGACAAATCAGCACTCTGTAAAATGGACAAATCAGCAGGACATGGGCGGGGCCAAATAAGAGAATAAAAAGCTGGCCATGCCAACCACCAGTGGCAACCCACTCGGGTCTCCTTCCACACTGAGGGAGCTTTGTTCTTTCACTCTTCACAATAAATCTAGTTGCTGCTCACTTTTTGGGTCTGCACCACCTTTAAAGCTGTAACACTCGATTCAAAGTTCCACAGCTTCATTCTTGAAGTCAGTGAACCCACCAGAAGGAACAAACTCCGGATGCACCACCTTTAAGAGCTGTAACACTCACTGCAAGGTCCGTGGCTTCATTCTTGAAGTCAGCGAGACCAAGAACCCACCAGAAGGAATAAATTCTGGACACAATTTTATTTGCATCTAACCATAATTATATAATAGAGGAATTATTATTATCTTTGTTTTGTAGGAGAAAACCTAAGCACGGAGTGATTTAGTAACTCACACACAGTCACACCGCTGGTAAGACATGGAGCCACGATGTGTACCAGGGCAGGCTAGCTCCAGTGCCAGTGCTCTTCAGGTAGAAATAATTATGACATATTTAAAATAAAATCTAGTATTGTTGGAAAACAGGCAATACCTAATGATTCCTTTGCTCTTTTAAAAAATGCAATTATCATCATCGTCCATTCATTAAATAAAATACTTTATTCAAGTCTAGCAATGTGGTTAAAGAAACAAAATTTCTAGCTGTAAGTTTATTTAAAATAAATGAATGCTGTTGGCTTGACATCATGTATCACATTACTTAGGGAGATTGAAAAAAATGCAATTTAGCAGGATTTTATACTAAGGGATAGGATTGGGGAAATTGGACAAAGTAGAATGTGGCTAATTGGAAATTAGGAAGATCAAATAGGTCAATAATTAATTGTGAAAAACAAGATTGACAGGAGTGGGCAGAGGCAACCTGGGGTAGAGCAACATCTTCTATAGTGACATCGAGTAGCGCAGCAAACAGTGTTGAGGGGCGGCCCATCTATAAGATGCTGCTTCCCTTCCTGTGTCCTGACCCTCTGTTGGCCAGCATTCAGGGCCATGAATATTACAGTGAAGGAAGTAGCTCTGCCTCACAGTCTCAAAAATTACCATATATTTTTCCCCTCAGTTCTAAACATCAAGATATTGATAGAGGCAGGAGGCAGACAAAGGCCTACGCAGATACGGAAGAATCCCTGCAGAATCTCCAACCCATCCCACAAGTGTTTACACCAGATGTTTTGTGCAGATGAGGGAACTGCACAGGGGGCTTGCCTGGGCATGCCCACAATGGACTAGAGGCCCACCTGTACTTGGGGAATGGGGTGGAGCCACCAGGAATTCACGCCTTATGCAGGGAAGGAGCTCGGCCTCTTTGTCTCCTGTGTGGTGGCCCTGGTATTCAATTTGGGAGGTGGAAACCTGCTTGCAGGACCTCCTCTCTTTGCTGAGAGCTTCTTTTTGGCTTAATACATTCCATCCTTCTCACCCTTCAATGTGTCTGCATGCCTAATTCTTCCTGGTCTTGAGACAAGAACCCAGATTAGCTGAGCTAAGGAGCAAAATATCTTGTATCAATATCATTGAAAAAGTGCTGAACTAGAAGCTTGAAAGTTTGAATTTCTAGTACTAGTTCTTTTTACCAAAAAAGAGTCAACAAATTGCATACATTCTCTATATCTAGTTTTCCCATATAAATGGAATTAATTGTTACTTTTTTTTTTTTTTTTGAGATGGAATCTCACTCTGTCACCCAGGCTGGAGTGAGTGATGCAATCTCAGCTCACTGCAACCTCTGCCTCCTGGGTTCAAGCGATTTTCTTGCCTCAGACTCTCAAGTAGCTGGGATTACAGGCTCTGCCACCACGCCTGGCTAATTTTTGTAGAGAGGGGGTTTTGCCATGTTGGCCAAACTCCTGACCTCAGGTGATCCACCCACCTTGGCCTCCCAAAGCGCTGGGATTACAGGCACTGCGCCTGCCAATTGTTACCTTTTATCCTGTTTTATTAGGGTAAGTCTTATTGGTTCAAAAAACACAAATTACCAGGAAAATCTTATTTGAGGGGAGGAATTATGGCACTAGGGAAGAGCCCGTGTGCACTAACATGCCCTGGATTGGAACCTCTGCTCAGCCACATGACTGTGAGCCTTTGCAAGTTACTTGATCCCTCTGGACTTTGGCGCCTCATCAATTAAGGAGAATCATAACAGTTCTTGTGTAGGTTTGTGTGAGAATTAAACAAGACAGTGCAAGTACCATGCCTGGAGCAATGTTTGACACTATAGGCACATCATAAGTTCCAGTTTCTTATGTTTGGAAATAGGTATTAAAGAGAGAATAAAATGGAGAGATCGTTGTCCTTCACACAGATAAAAAAGTAACACTGAGATCCTGTTCTGGGTCTATTTATGTTTCTGTCCTCTTCATATCTCAAAATATGAGACTTGGCCTCATAATTCTAGACAAATCCCACAGTCAGTGAGATCTGGAATCATGTCAGCAACCAGGACTTGGATTTGGATCTGGAATGCATCACCAGTGTGTGCGGGGGTGGCAGGGGAGGCAGCTGGTTGGCAGGCAGACAGTGCCAGAGAAAATCAAATAAAGGTAATGTCTAATTTTAGGACAAGAAGACAGTATTTGAACAGCAGTGAGGTCAACAGGCACCAGTTAGGCTCAGGGCTCAGGAGCCCATCACTGGAACTGCTAGCCCTTCATAAAAGCTTTGTGTTGTGAAGCTGTTTTTTCTCGGCATGAGAGAGTGGGGTAGGGACTTGGGGGACATTTGTGCTTCTTTCCCAAATCTCGTACTTTCTTTGAGGGTTTTCTAGAATCCAGCTGTTTTTCTTAAGGTTGAGATAATCATAATTTTTGTTCGTCGGGATTCTGATTCGGGTGCATCATAAGCCACTTCCAGATGAGGGAAGAAGAGGGGGAAGGAAAATAAAAACAAGAGAAAGACAAGGAAAAAGAAAGAAGAAAGAGGAGGAGAAGAAGGAGAAAGAGGAGGAAGGAGAGAAGTGAAGGAAGTACCAGGCTGGAAGAAAGAGAATGAGCAGGGGCTGTCAGGGAGACATGAGTGTTGAGAGATTTTAATAGGGATATGAGATAAACTTTATTTTTACATCATTTAAAAAATAACTGAAGAAACCAATAGAAACCAATATTCAGTTAAAAACAAACTGAAGGAACTGAAGAAATACAATGAAATAAGGAAGCTAACAATACTTAAGGTAAAGTGAGTAATTTTTGTTCTGGATTGATGTAAATCTCTCCAAATGGTACAATGGGATTGGGAGAGCAGGTTTAGTCATATGAAGGGGAGATGGCATGTTGTCAGTTTCATATGAGCAAAGATTCTTTGCATTTTCTGTTTTTATACCTCAATGGAATTTTTGCTCAGTTACACTCTATGTAGAATTATAAATTCTGCTTTATAATATATAATTGATATTTTATGTTTCTGATGGTAACATATTATTTATGTGAAATATTTTGGAGGATGAGGATAGCATGCACACTAGAGCCACTCTCCACTCCTGCCTGCATGAAATGAGGCTTTCTCCATTTGATAAAGCTTAGCAGGAGCTGAAGGGGGCAATCCTCACCCATCCAGGAAGAGAGATTGCACGCAAATTGCTTCTGAAGTTAAGATTTCCCTATGTTCCTGTGAAGTGAAAAGAAATGACAAAAAAAAAAAAAAGTGGCCAATTCTAAGTTTAAGAAAAACACTCTATTGAAATTTAAATTTTCTCTCTATATGAGATTCTTCATATAGGCATGCTTCTCACTGGCCATTCTATTTCAAAGCTAAAGATTTCTGTCTGCCATTGTAACCCATTCTGCTTATATGTGTGGAAATAAATTATGAAAATGAAGGCATCAGACAAGGCAAAATCTTGCTATGTGGAGTTATGTCTGGTGTGGTAAATAGAATGAACAAGGAAAGAATCAACAAGGCAAAAAGAAGTAAGGAAATGGTCATTATAAAATAGTTTCAAGAAATTCAACCTCTTAGGTCTCAGACTTTCTTTCATCTTCATTTACCCCAGTTTGGCAATGTATCTTGGAAAGATTTCCCCAAGCAAGAATGAAAAAAATACTAAATAAAATGTACGAAGTCTATTTAGTCTTACAAACTATGGTAAAGATGTTTAGTGCTCAACCATATCTGATTTTCCTCTCCTTTCTTCATTCATTGTACTTCACTTTCGTCTTCCAATTAGTTGAGACCAGAGTCCTAGCAAATAAAATGTAACTAGAACTGAGAATGTGCCACTTCAGTTTGTGGTAATGAAAAGTACATAATTGAGTATTCTCCCCCTCCAAAATCTGCTCTGGAAAGTCATTCAACTCATATCACAATTTTAAACATAAACATTGTGTTATGCTATAAGGATTTGGTGTACTTGTTTGTTATTGAAGCATAACCTATATTGACTGCTACTGGGGCTTTAGTAGTAGGCTTTAGTCATTCCTGGGCATCTAGCAGACTGTGATCATCATCATTAATGGTAATTCTGATGCTTTTTAAGATTTCTAGACATTACAAATGGGTGAGACTTACGTGCACTAACTGACAGAGGAATGGAAACCAACTGAATTTATTCTACTAGTGTGTGCAGAATCCAGGAGAAAAATGCCTTGTTTAACCAGGTTACAGTCATTTTTATGAAAATACATTTCATAATCAGTACATCAGCATTCACTGTATAGTTCTCTCTCAGGTATCTTTTGAGATTACTGGAAGATAACATTTTTACGTCCTTCAATCCTTTTTCCTCTCAAAAAATCAAGCTGTAAGTATTAGGGTGAACCACATGAAACTGCCAACATTTGACCATTTTTGATCAGCAATTTTATAAGGTGCCATCTCGCATTTCCTTTACTTTGAAAAATAAAGCACTTTATAAAAGGAGATATGATTCCTCCTTAACAGTTCTAATGATAAACATTTTTTCTGCTAAGGAAAACACTAAGAAAGCTTTAAAAGATCAGGATTCAGATATACAAATTATAGAGTTGCGTTTAAAAAGTTCTTTCTCTCCATCTATCTGTGGAAAATTATATTGGGGCTTTTATATGCTTAAGCAACTTAAAAATCTATCAGGAGCAGTAATCAACCTATAATACACAACAATAAAATGTGTATGGAAATTACATCTAAAATTATTGAGGCGACATTTTCTTTTCTTTTCTTTTTTTTTTTTCTAAAAAAGACCTATGGATTTGTTCTAGGAGAATGCCATTCTAAACTACATGATTTATAAAACTGCTACCTAATAAAATTCTAATTTATATGCAGAAATTTGTTTACTTCTTGGGAAATAAATATTGTTGTGATTCAGAAAACTGAAATTAGCTCATTAATTGGAAGTGTTCAGTAAATCCTTTCTAAGTGAATGACCAACAACCACAGAAGCAATTTTTTAGAAATAATTTTGGCCATTAAAATCCCCAAAATATTTGTTAACCAAAAAAAATCATGAAGACTGACTAAGAACAATCTCTAGTAGAAAACATTAATTAACAATGACCAGTCATGTTATACCACCAATTCCTGGGATTTTTTAGGAAAGAACATGGTAGTGATTCTCCATCCAAAACACTTTAACAAACATCGATTAGGTACCTGCCATCTATCAGGCATATGAGAATCTTTAAGGGGAACATGGATAAATAAAAACGCTGAGCTCAAGTCTAGGTGGCAGATTAGACATGTAAGTACATAAATATAATACGTTGTGGTAAATGGTGTAATACAGATATGTTCAAGGGTATCGGATGTACATGTAGTGAAGTAAATAGCTATGACTGAGGAATGATACAAACAATGACTTATATTTTACCTGTATCTTATATACTGTGTAGGAGTTTATAAGTGCACTGGAGGTGGAAGATAAGAGCAAGTGAGCACATGGGTGGTAATGTGGAAATGAGTGTTCATGGTGAGTTCAAGGATGTACTGAATGTGGCTGAAATGTGAGGTGCCTGGCAGGAGAGCAAGGACTGAAGATTAGTTTAGGAAACTCATGTGTGCTGGGACCTGCAATGTCTAGAATGGCAGGAGAAATCATTTGAAATTTAGCTGAAGGCACTGGAGTCTCATTGAAAGAACCAGAGTAAGAGAGTAAAAGGACCAGATTTGGGAGATAAGTCTGCCTGCTGGGTGGCTGTAAGGTGAGTTGAAGATGTGGGGACCAGCTTCCTAGACCTACTCTTATTCTAAGGTTTATATTATTCCACCCCTCCCCCCACCATATTACATTTCAAATTCAAGGGTGTACCTCTCTACACCGAACACATCACATATCTTCACCAACATGCAACTTGATTCCTGCCTTTTAGCTCTGCTCCTAATATCCCTATATGCAGCACCCTCTTCTATCTTCCCAAACCATGGCCACTCTTCAGAATTTAGTCCAATTTCTCTCCTGACAAAAACAAACAAACAAAAAGCAGAATCACAGAATCTGCTGAAATAAGAGATCTGTATTATCTGCAGTTTATATCTAATAATTATGAAGCTTAAAGAAGAGCTAAGTCAGAAGTACTAAAACGATTTGACCTATTGATATATTCCTGATGGTTGAGGAAACAAAGGTGGCATGAAGAATAATTACAAGCAGGGATGCAGTGATGGAGGAATGTTAATTAGGCACCTAGGAGCAGCCGTATGAACTCCTTGATCATAGAGAAAAATATAAAAGCTGACAGTCAAATGACTGCCTGCTGAGTAAAAGCACAGAACTTGGTTCAACTCAACATGAACCAGGGAAAAGTACATTTTGAAGCCCATTATGCCTTGGGAAGACTATAAATAAGAAAGTCCTAAGATAAATCCAAAGTGGTTAATGAGGCCAAATGTTTTGATTGACCTAAGATGGTTGCTCCGGAGGGCATGATGACTTACTTACTGAGATAGAAAGCTGGTCAGCAGGAATGCTGAGTTGATTTTATTCCGTTTCTTTAACATGAAGTCATTTGGACCCAAGTATGGTTCTCTGAGAAATCTGAAAATATGCTTCATGTCCCATAACCCGTTATTCACTGACATTTACAACTCCCAGTCAAGTTCTGTTATCGTTCTCTTCAGAGCTAAAATATGCATTTTTTCATAGACCCAAAACCTATATGCATTGATCAATTTCAGTGATTTTTGTCAAACCAGGTTGAAAGGGCATCTAATTTTTGAGGAAAAGGAAATAAGTCAAAACGGAGGGCTACTGGGACTTAGACACAGCCACTTTAATTCCTGAGATGACTGTGTTGCATCAAATACACTCATGCACTGCATAACGACGTTTTAGTTAACAACAGACTGCGTATATGACTGCGGTCCCATAAGATCATAATGGAGCTGAAAAAGTCCCATCATCTAGTGACATGGTCGTCACGATGTTGTAGTGCACTGTATTACTCATGTGTTTGTGGTGATGCTGGTATAAACAAACTTCCTGTACTGTCAGTCCTATAAAAGTATAGCACATGGGGCAGGGCGCGGTGGCTCGTGCCTATAATCCCAGCACTTTGGGGGGCTGAGGTGGGTGGATCACCTGAGGTCAGGAGTTGAAGACCAGCCTGGTCAACATGGCAAAACCCCATCTCTACTAAAAATACAAAAATTAGCCAGGCGTAGCGGTGGGCGCCTATAATTCCAGCTACTCGGGAGGTTGAGGCAGGAGAATCGCTTGAATCCAGGAGGCAGAGGTTGCAGTGAGCCAAGATCATGCCATTGCACTCCAGCCAGGGCAACAAGAGCTAAACTCCATCTCCAAAAAATAAAAAATAAAAAAAAAAAAGAAAGCATAGCACATACAATTCTGTACAGTACATAATATTTGATCATGATAAGAAATTACTCTGTTACTAGTTAATATATTTTCTATACTATAATTTTTATGGTTGTTTTAGAGTATACTCTTTCTGAGTACACGGTATTAAAAGAAAAAATGTTAACTGTAAAATAGCCTCAGGCAGTTCGTTCAGGAAGCATTCCATGAGAAGGCATTGTTATCATAGGAGATGACAGCTCCATGTGTGTTATTGTCCCTGAAGACCCTCTAGTGGAACAAGATGTAGTAGAGGATGACGATATTGGTGATCCTGACCCCATGAAGGCCTAGGCTAGTGTATATGGTTATATCTCAGCTTTTAAGAAAAAAGTTTAAAAGTAGAAAATAAAACAAAAATTATAAGCATAGAAAGAAGCTTATAATATAAAGATATACAGAGAGAAAATATTTTCATATGGCTGTACAATGTGTATGGCTGTACAATGTGTATTTTAAACTAAGTATTACTACAAAACAGTAAAAAAAATTACAAGTTTATAAAGTAAAAATGTTACAGCAAGCTATCTTAATTTACAATTAAAGAAAAAATATTTTTTTACAAACGTAGTGTAGCCTAACTGTACAGTGTTTATAAAGTCTACAGAGTGTACAGAGTAATGTGCTAGGCCTCCACATTCATTCACCACTCACTCACTGACTCAACCAGGGCAACTTCCAGTCTTTGTATCACAAGTTCCTAAGGTCCTGGTCAGGCCTCCAGACCAAGAGTACTTAGTTCGTTTTTACTGAGCAGGACTGAGTTTGATCTCAATGAGAAAACCATGAAGCTACTTTCTTTCAGTAATTCCTTTCCTTCCTTCCAACTGCAGTGCATTTTGTATAATTTATTCATCCCTGTGTGCACTTACACAGTGCATCTGCTTCATCATTATTTCATTATTTCTTCTTGCTTTAAAATTGCATGAGCCATTGAGCAGCTGAGATGATAAATAGGAAAAAACACCTGGGCTCTTGGAGATGAGGGTGTGGTTAAGTTTTGGGGGGGGCCTCTGTCTATTCGGCCATCTACATAGTCTTGCTTGTTCATTTTTCATATTTTTTCTTATTTATCATTTAATATTCAAAACTAAGGCCTTCTTACTTCGTAGATGACTTGCCTTACCCTCCCTTCCCATATTCATGTTCTCAAACCCATTGCTATCAAGATTTTTCCCTGCTGAGAGATACTCCAGATATCCTAAAGTCTAATTCCTTATCAAGGCACTAAAGGTTCTTCAGAATCTGCCCAAATTATCTTCCCTTGATACTTCCTACATTCCTATTTAGTCAGTTTTTTTTCTGGAACAATTTTTTGGACCTTTGCTTGCTCCACACCTTTTTCATGCCCCAATCTTTTCTGTTTTGCAAGACACAGCTTTGATCCTCTCTCCTTTCTACAGCATCTCTTGCCCTCCTGAGTTCTTCTGGAACTTTTATCGAGACCACTGTGTTGTACTCCATTAATTACTTAAAGGCTGTACAAAGAATATATTCAAGAGTTTTACTGTTTCTTTAGTTTAGAGATTGTCATACATAATGGGGGTTAATTTTCAAAGCTAGAAAAGAAAAAAAGAAAGCAGTAATATTGACAAAAATGTACTGTTTTTTTTTGTTCCATCAATGGTAATTGATTTTTGGCTTACTTCTAGTGCTCAATTTTGAAATTTGGTTTTCAATGGCATTGGAAGGGAAGGTTTCTATAGAAAGATATATCCCCCAAAGCATCAACTAGCATTATACGTATTTGCCTTTGGGTTCAATTTAAAATATTTTTCAAAAACTAGGAAAAAATGTATAAAGACATGTTAAATGGCCTTAGTTTGGAAGCAGACTGCCATCACTTTTGAAAGAAATGGAAGTATGAATCTCTTCCATTGTGATGCAATCAAGACTTCTAATTTATTTGCTTAGTGCAAGAGCATGATTACATTACCCATTATCCCTGAGGGAATGGGATGCTTTCTCAATCCTCCTGCTTTAATCTCCGTATCTGTATTATTAAAATGTATCCTTGTATCTAAAGATAATAGGATTACCTGTCTACGGGGAGCTAATGCTACTTTATTGTTTAGTGAGATCTCTAACCCAATACTTAAAACAGTGAACACAGGGGCGCTCTGAATATATACACACAGCACATTCCGGGAAGCCTCCTGTTTGCAAAGATGTAAACTCAGTTCAGTAGCATGCAGGCAAATAGCACCTCAGGGCTTTTTTCCATAAAACAGCACTTCCACAACATTTTTTTGCCTGCGTATAGTTTAGGAAAATGTAAAGAAAAATAATGCAAGTAAGAAAGTTGTTTTCTAGCTCTAGCTCTTAACTGTTTTGAACTAAAATCACTGGAATTTGTTATTTTTGGAAGCATAACCATTTCACCACAAAAATACAAGTATTACTAAAATATATGAGCACACATATTTCAACAGGATGGGCTAGTAAACTTAAACTAATGTAGTGTCTTTTATCACTATAAGGTAAGTGGAATTCTAGGTTGCATCTGCTACTTATAGTTTTTCAATTCTTGGAACTTTGCTGAAAATCTCATGTAAGCCTCCTTAGCCATTTCTTTAATATTATCTTAAAGACACCAATTTACTTTGCTTCTGTAGAAACATAATGATAAACATATATACATATAATGACAACAATAATGGTAACAGCATTTTTATTGAATATTATATGTTTGTTAGGTGTTACAGTAGGCAAGTTACCCATTATTAATTTAATTCCTTTATTTCATGATGCTACTATATACAAGGTTCTACAGTATATACTGTGATCAAGGGGAGAGAGGAAGAGATAGAGGAAGAAAAAGAGAGGAAGGGAGGGAGGAAGGAAGAAAGGAAAGATAAAGGGAGGGAGGGAGAAATACAAAATTAAAACATGAGGCCGGGCACAGTGGCTCACGCCTGTAATCCCAGCACTTTGGGAGGCCGAGGCGGGTGGATCACGAGGTCAGATCGAGACCATCCTGGCTAACACGGTGAAACCCCGTCTCTACTAAAAATACAAAAAATTAGCCGGGCGTGGTGGTGGGCACCTGTAGTCTCAGCTGTTCAGGAGGCTAAGGCAGGAGAATGGCGTGAACCCGGAAGGCAGAGATTGCAGTGAGCTGAGATCGTGCCACTGCACTCCAGCCTGGGCGACAGAGTGAGACTCTGTCTCAGAAAAAAAAAAAAAAAAAAAAAAAAAAAATTAAGACATGGTCTGTATTTTCACAAATCTGTTTGGGAGAGGGTGTGTGGTAAACATCTGTCAAATTTTCCCCACAGCATAATTTGCAAAGAGTTTTAGTTTTTGTCCTATTTAAAGAAACTGAAGCTAGAAATCATAGATTACATGTATAGATTATATATGGGAGTGAGTTTTGTAAGAAATTTAAACAGTACACCAATACACAAGAAAAGCTTTAAGTCTCCATCAAAGGACTGGTGAATAAATTCCTATGTTTGCAAACATAACATATTTAAGAGATGTTCGGATCTTCAGAATACTTTTCTCTTAAACATAATTTTAAAAATAATGAATCAACTATTCAGCAGTTGTTGCCCATAAAGGAGTCATTTCCACTAAACTGTACAAGGTCACTCAACTTGTTAGAGCAAGCACTATTATTTACCCTAACTAAATCAGGTTGACTCCAAACTTCAAGATTTCCCATCACCAGATAAATACAAAGACATTTTCTATCTCCTAATCTATTATCTATCTATCTATCTATCTATCTATCTATCTATCTATCTGTCTATCTACTATCTACCTATCATCTATCTATCCATCTATCTTATCTTTCATCTATCTATCTATATCTAAGTGAACAGTGTGTGATATTCACAAACACAATGGTAGCTCCAAAGAGTAGGAAGGGACAATGTGCATGTGACAAGGTTTGTGGTGACGAGCCTTGCTTAGTATCCAGTCTAAGGGTACCTGATAAACAATAAATAGTGAGAGGACATGGTGCTTCAAGAGAAGAGCGCTTTAAAGTCTCTTTGTTTTCCTCCTCCTACTCTAGTCACCTTTCTGAACCTTTTATTCTCCAAATTTTCTTCTGATTCTATGGCTCTCATCTCTTGGCAGACAGAGCAGCCTCTTGAGAGCTATCAGTGCCTTTAAAACCCCTTGTTCCCTTGCCCAGTGTTCTATTCAGCAGGCGGTTGTTGAGAACTGAGCTTACGCCCACCATAGCCTGTGCAGGAAACCAGGGAAAGAGAAATGCAGGTATCAGCATTCTCTTGTGAGGACCTTACCAAGCACTGGTGTATTAGAAGATATAAAAACAATGGGAAGTGTTCTCCTCCAAAAGGTGGCTTGCAAATCACTATATATTTATGTTGTGCCTATTACAGAGCAGGAAGTGTTGTAGGCACTCTATCAGCTTTGGAGGAGAATGTCCATCACAGTCACTCAGATCACATTAGTTAATAAGTCAGT
Organism: Homo sapiens; assembly: GCF_000001405.40. Lineage (NCBI taxonomy): Eukaryota > Metazoa > Chordata > Mammalia > Primates > Hominidae > Homo > Homo sapiens. Next base: position 82,681,707 of record NC_000010.11, on the reverse strand, counting down.
TCACTTCTGAACATACCATTAAATAGCAATGAAACCAAAAGAGTAACTCCTTCATTTTAGAAGGTGTCACTTTTACTGACAAATGACATTTGTCAATGTATTGATTTATTTGTCAATTTATTTACTTCAGGAGAATATTATGCCCAAGAAAAGCCTAGTAAAGCACTGGTGTTTCTGCCAGTCCCTGCTGAAGATTTCACCAGCTTTCAGCAAAAATATTGGCATAATATTTCCAACTGGACTGAGTTATTCTGAAATTGTTTCTCCTGCACTTTTTAATTTTATGAAGCTTATAAAATCTAATATTTATTGAGAATCTCAGCATATTAGGTATTTCACATTAATTGTTTCAATTGACATTACCACAGTTTTATGAGGTAAGTCAATTATTATCTCCAGTTTACAAATGAGGAAACTGAGTTTCAGAAAATATAGTAAATTGTACAGAATCAGTCAATTGTTCAGTCAACAGTGGCAGTGGTAGATTTCAAATAAGGCAATTTTGCTCCAAAACTCAAGTTCCTTAATTGCCACCTTCTAAAGCTTACCCAAAAGGCAGTTTTTTTTCCTCACATGATTTTTTATCACAAGTCAGTCTTAACAACCATGAGCGATGCCCCAATTATGTTTTAATATTATACTCTTCTTTGACATAAAATCCTGTAATGTCTGGTCTAGACCCTGGGCTTCAAGGCTCTAGAGAAAACAGCCTGAGTTGTTTAGAAAGAAGTAAACCTGCCCTGTGGCAGCACATTTAAACTCTTGCCCAGAACAGCTTAACCTTGAGCAGCCACAGGATCATGTGGCTAACATCCCTTGGCAAGGAGCTTTCAGGCAGGGATTGGACAGTAACTGGAATTGAAGCTGCTTATAATTATCTGCATCATTTTTAGCTTTCAAATTGAATTCCACTGAAACTGCCTAGTGAAACTAGGGCATTTATTATGTGTCTGCAGCAAAAGAAATGGCTCTGAAGAAAGCTTCACCATATTCAGGATCATATTGAGCTGCATTGAGTATGCAGAGCAAACGTCAACCCTGTCGGCTCATAGCATGATCAACAGCGATTCATAAACACAGAACACTCCTGGAAATCTTGGTCCTTCCTGGAAAAGTCCAGAGAATAAAGATTAAAATCATGACAAGGGCGGGAGAGTGGTCTGGTAAGACATTTATGGTTTGATTTCTTTAGACTATTTTATTAGCATTTTAGAAGAAGCATGTGTCCATGTATTACTTGCATGATTAAAATTTTAATTTTCAAAGGACTCAGTGCATTCATTACTTCATCAAACATTGATTGGTTATTTAATGTGTCAGGCATTCTGCTGATTATTGGTGATTTAGCAGTGGATAAAATTAAAACAATGGCACATTTCATTCATCACAGTCAAGAGACTAACATAAAGTACCTTGAAGACCCCAACCAGCCTGTTGGGGTTCAAATTTCACCTTAGCAGTTATTAGATGTGAGGCATTGCTCAAGATATATGTCTTCCATTCCTCAATGTCCTCATCTAAAATACTATGATTGCAACAATAGTACCTATTTCATAGGGTGGTATTAACAGTTATATGATGTTAATATAAGTAAAGGGCTTAGAATAGTGTTTGGTGATTGGTAAAATTCATATTAGTTTTGGTGTAACTAGCTACATGGATAATGCTTCCCATCAGATCTTTTTCTATTTGTACAAACCATGGCATTGATATAGATGAATATGGTATACTATATGATCATATCAAAATAGATATTTTGATATCATAGCTCTGAAATAAAATACATAGTGCAATTTATAAAATAAAGGTTAGTACATAAACAAAAGACTTTTTTCTTTTTTTTTTCCAGTAGGTAAGAACATAGACTCTGAACACTAATTACCTGGGTAGAATCCCAGCTCCAAACCTTCCTGTCCCTGTAGCCTTGTGTGAGTTAGCTTTTCCCCACTTCGTAATTATTTTGTCTGCAATTAATAATGGTGTTTATCTCATAGAGTTGATATGAAGATTGAGATATGTCACTTGGGTATTTGTACACTGCCCTGTAATCAGAAAGGCCCCACTCTTAGTTTAATGCTCTGGCATCACCATGTTAAAATTCTTAATAATTTTTGAACAAGCAGCTTTGCATTATTTTTCACTGGACTGACCTCACTAATTATGCAGCCAGTCATCATGAGACTTAAATGAGCTAATATATGTAAAGACTTAGAACAGTTCCTGGCACAGAAAATGCTATGTAAATATTAACTATTATATTATTATATTCCTTTATTTAGATACCAGAAATTCTTATTTCAAGTGATTTTGTAAATGCAAGATTTTTCTTTTCACTAGAGTAAGAAAAATACTTGTTTTTTGTATGGAATTTAAACAATTACTTAGCTGAGCATTGAACGTGACATACCACCTGCTATGAAATGCCATAATTATGATGAATATGCTAGTTTTATAATAGACCTTGGCTACAAAGTTTTTGACTATGACTATACAACAGTCCAGAGTCAGACGGAGTGAGAAGAAAAGATCCAACACTTCCTGAGCATCTACTATGTACAAGACAGCACAATGGTCATCTCATCAAGTCCTTTCAGTTCTCCTTCAAATTATAACTCTACTTTTGTAGATCATGAAACTAAAACTCAAGACATTTAATACAGCCCAGTCAACATCACAAAACAAAGCATAAAAATTGAAATCCAGGTCTAACAACAATGTCTACATTTCCAATGTCAGATTGTCCACCTCAAATATTGAGTATAAGAGTGGCATATTTGTGAGTCCATCATTACATACATATGTATACACGGTGCTCAGAAATATCAAGGAAGACATGATCCCAGGATTTGTTTTTATCCTGTCAACACTCTTCTGAGGAAAGGAGCTCCATAAAATGCAGTAGGCATCAGAACCCACAGTCCTGGAGGCAGAGTGATCTCTTAGGCAAAAAAAAACTCTGGTAATGTCCGCTGTTGCTCTGTTGGAGTAGGTAGTCAGGCAGGCGTGAGGAAAGCAGGAGAGGGGCCCCCAATCTAAGAATGTCAGGCGACCGTCGGGTGATGGTCAGGCAGTTGTCACACTGTCTTTCTAAAATAACAATTGGTTTAAGCCAGTGCCAGGTGTCAGGCCTCTGAGCCCAAGCTAAGCTATCATATCCCCTGTGACCTGCACGTATACATCCAGATGGCCTGAAGTAACTGAAGAATGACAAAAGAAGTGAAAATGGTCTGTTCCTGCCTTAACTGATGACATTACCTTGTGAAATTCCTTTTCCTGGCTCATCCTGGCTCAAAAAGCTCCCCTACTGAGCATCTTGTGACCCCCACCCCTGCCGGCCAGAGAACAACCCCCTTTGACTGTAATTTTCCTTTACCTACCCAAATCTTATAAAACGGTCCCACCCCTATCTCCCTTCGCTGACTCTCTTTTTCGGACTCAACCCGCCTGCACCCAGGTGAAATAAACAGCCTTGTTGCTCACACAAAGCCTGTTTGGTGGTCTCTTCACACGGATGTGAGTGACCAGGGAAAAGCAGTCTCCCAATAGATAGGAAACACCTGAAGTGGTGATCAGCCGCTTCCTGATAAGATCTCAGGAGTTATGTGTGTGGGCTCAAGCATGAGCACTAAGAGGCAAAATGGCGGAGTTTAACTGGTATATGTCCTTCCTCTTAGAACACTTGGCTGGTAAGGGAAAAAGACCTCAAGTGAGCATGTGTACAACTTCAGTAAACACACCGTGCATGTGGCCCCTTCCAAACGCTGGCAGGCCACTGTGCATGTGGGCAGCCCGCTCCAAAGGGAGAATCAATGGAGAAGTAAGGCAACCCACCAAATCATGCAACATACAAAACCCAAGACAAACGTCAAACAGTGCACTTGACTCTCAAGTTGCCCACTTGGCCCCCTTCCAAGTGTGCTTTACTTCCTTTCATTCTTGCTCTAAAACTTTTTAATAAACTTTTATTCCTGCTCTAAAACCTGCCTCAGTCTCTCACTCTGCCTTACACCCCCTTGGTCAAATTCTTTCTTCTGAGGATCAAGAATTGAGGTAGTATTGCAGATGCATACAATTTGCCCCTGCTAATAGTTCTATAATTCTAAGCAGTGTTCAAGTCTATGAAAAGAGTTTCAGACAGTAAAAAAGAAAGAGGGAGAAAATGGCCATAAGAGAAGAAAAGCCAGAGAAAGATGAGAAAAAAGCAAGAGTTTCATTTTTCTATTTCTTCATTTTTGCATGAATGATCTTGTTGTGTGTAAAAGTGTCAGTACCAAAAAGTGCATAGTCTGAAACTGATTCCAAAAACAAACAAAAAACTCCCCAAAACTTTCAACCACCCCATGTAAACTCAAATGAAACTAATTTTGGGCCAGGTGTAGTGGCTCGCGCCTATAATCCCAACAGTTTAGGAGGCTGAGGCTGGATCCCAGGAGTTGAGACCAGCCTGGGCAACATGGTGAAACCCCCATCTCTACAAAAAGTACAAAAAATAGCCAGGTGTGGTGGTGCACACCTGTTGTCCCAGCTACTAGCAAAGCTGAGGTGACAGGATAGCTTGAGCCCGAGATTGTAGTGAACTGAGATCATGCCACTGCGCCCCAGCCTGGGTGACACAATGAGACCCTGCTTTTAAAAAAAAAAAAAAGAGAGAGAGAGAGAGAGAAAGAAAGAAAGAAAGAAAGATAATTTTGAAGAAAATAAAGGGAAAAGTTTTATTTAAATTACAAAATGCATGCTCCAGATTAAGAGTTCAGATATCTAAGAAAACTAAGAGGTCTGATTGAAGTTTTCTCTGCCTCAAAGTGACCTAGAGCCCAACAAATGCGTTAACTCCCCTTAAAAGCAACTCCAAACTACAATAGAAAAAAAAACGTTCAAAGAAAAAAATCAAAATTCAGAGTCCTCTACTAGAGAATAACAAATAGAGGCTGGGCGCCATGGCTCCGGCCTGTAATCCAGCACTTTGGGAGGCCGAGGGGGGCAGATAATTTGAGGTCAGGAATTCAAGACCAGCCTAGTCACATGGCAAAACTCTGTCTCTACTAAAAATACAAAAATTAGCCAGGAGTGGTGGGACACACCTGTAATCCCAGCTACTCGGGAGGCTGAGGCAGAAGAGTTGCTTGAACCTGGGAGGTGAAGGTTGCAGTGAGCCAAGATTGTGCCACTGCACTCCAGCCTGGGTGACAGAGTGAGACTCCATCTTGAAAAAAAACAAACAAAAAAACCACAAATAGAAATGGCAGACCAAAATATGTTCACCTTTTTCTGTGATCCAGGAACATGAATAAGAGGGTGGCTGGGGGCGGTCCCCTGATGTCCTTTCACCTTTAGAGTTACAAAGAATGCAAACACCCTTAGCAGGAAAACAGGTTAGTCTTCCTTAAGGCAATCCAAGCAGATGTTTCAATTTTTTTTTAATCAACATAATATGTGGTAGCTTATGATTATTAATGAAGACAGAAGTTCAATTTTGATGTTATGATAGTTTTTTTTAAAGCATGTGAACAGAAGGGCTGGGACTTTTTTCTGTTGATTCCTATAATAACTCCCTCTTCTACATAGTGTGGCTGGCCTCGTGTCAATGAAACTCTTTCTTTACTGCAATGCTGTTGCTTTTTCCTGTTAATTTTAAGCAAAATAAAGACATTTTGTTTCTATTATTGAATGAGAATACACCTCCCTGATTCCTATATGATTTTTTTTCTAACTGTGTGGAATTACAGAAACATCGTGTGAATATTTTTATATTTGGATGGATTCATAGAATTTGTTACCCTTTCAGGATGGTTCTTGCCTAGTTATGTAGATACAAAATATGATCTGTGCTTATTTGTAAGTGAAGTAAGGTACATCCCAGATAGAGTACTAGAACTGAAACTGCCTTTGCAAAAATTATAACAGTGAGAAAATTATGGCAGTGGGGGAGATCTGATCTAGCCAACTCCCCTCTTGCCTTGAGCCTTCAAACTGCTTTTAATTATTCCTTGGCTGCTTAAGCCAAGCTAGCCTTGGGAGGCATTTAATTTATAGGTTAAATGATAACAGCCTTTCCCCAAAACTCAACCACTTTTGTAAAGCTAATGAGAGACCACCAGGCTAGGCAGATAGAGGGGGCTGAATTCTGCTAAGGTGTAGACATAAAGGATTGCCAGTCATTATTCAAGAGATCAAAAGGTATGCTAACTTCCCCGATTACCCCTGTGGACAGCATCACTATTATTGAACCTAAGATTGGCCTTTTGAAATGTCTTTTCGGGTTCTTTGCATGTCTGACACCTGGCTTCACCTGGACTCACCAACTGCTCTTGTGGCCCCACCAGAAACTATTCAGCACACAGGAGGAACATTTCCCATAACCCTATGACTTCACCCCCAACCAATCAGCAACAAACAACCATTGTCTAGCCACTCCCATCACTTCCCCCAAACAATCTTTGAAAAACCCCAAGGCCGGGTGCAGTGTCTCACACCTGTAATCCCAGCACTTTGGGAGGCCGAGGTGGGCGGACCACCTGAGGTCAGGAGTTCAAGAGCAGCCTCGTCAACATAGAGAAACCCCATCTCTACAAACATACAAAAATTAGCCAGCATGATGGCGGGTGCCTGTAATCCCAGCTACTCAGGGGGTTGGGGAGGAAGAATCGCTTGAACCCAGGAGGCGGAGGTTGCAGTGAGCCGAGGCGCGCCATTGCACTCCAGCCTGGGCGACACAGTGAGGTTCCGTCTCAAAAAATAAATAAATAAATAAATAAATAAATAAATAAATATAAATAAAACCCCCTAATCTAGAAGCCTTTGAGGAGATAATAATTCCCTCTCCCCCATGGTGTGGCCGGCCTCATGTCAATTAAACTCTTTCTTTTCTGCAATTATGTGAATTAATTTTGTTTGTGCAGTGGGCAGGAGAACCCATCAGGTGGTTAAAGAATTCATTACGGCAGGTGGGGGTGGGGAACAAAACGGGACTTCATCTGAGAGATCTGAGACTTCGCATCCAGCACAACATTCTCACTTTACCTGAATGTACTTCCCTGGAAACTGATGCTCCCGATGTTATCAGATATAGAGTGCTGGATGAACCATCCTCCTAGTAGATTCAAATGACTGATAGACAATAAGGCTCATTCCTTGCTGGGATCATAAAGGGGACTATATTCAATTACTTATTAAAAGTCTAGAGAAGATGATACTTAAGCCATGTTTAAGTGTCAGTAAAAAGGCAAATATGACTCTCGGGAAAGCTAATGAGAGATTAAAGTAAATGAGAGATTAAAAAGATAGGCCAGATGAACTAAGAGTTTGGGTTTTTAGCTAGGGATTCTAAACTCTCACCCTGACAACTGAGAGCCATTGTTGTTTTTGAACAAAAATGAGGCAATATGAAAAAATACATAGTGTGGAAAGTTTATGTAGTAACATGCAGGAAGAGATTAATAGGCAAGAATGTCAACTAGATGGCATTTGATGACTAATTCCATATTGAGTTCTCTTGTCTCTTTATTTTCCTGGTGTGCATATCTGTCACAATTCCAACCTGAATAAATCTAACTACTTGCTTTGTCTAATTTTGCCATACAGAGTCCCAGTTTACACATGTTGCCTTGATACTCCTGGTTAGCACTCTTTCACTTTCAAAAGGCCCCTCATTTGTACAAGAAATCATATGGCTACCCTGACGTTGCCCAGCAACACTGTTGAACATCTTGTATGCTGGACTAATTCAATCATTCTCCTAAACCCGCCTTTTATTGCTGAAGTTCCAAGGTTCAGTCTTGAACCCTAGGATCGTTCTCTCCTGGATCTATGTTCTTTCCCTCTGAGCATTTGAATTCATGACACTGGCTTAAATGGTCACTTACTTAAAGATACTCCACATATTTATATTTTTAGCATAGGCCTCTCCTTTGAGCTCCAGACCTAACTTTCTAGTTGGTATCTTCACATGGATCCCGACTGCAAAGTCATCTCAAACTCAACCTGTCTGAAAGCCCAGTGAAGATTTATAGCTGAGGCTATTCTTCCATCCCCCAACCCCCAAACTTTGGATTGTCTCCAGTGTGCTCTCTCCTGGTAGACCTCATACCACTCATTCTGCACTCAAGCCAGAATCAAGGAGTTATCCTGACCTCTCACTTTCCTTCATTCCCACATCTGATCTGTCAGCAATCTATGTCACCTTAATTCCAAATACAGTAAGTCTTTACTTAATGTCATCAATAGGTTCTTAGAAATTGCCACTTTAAGCAAAATACAGTATAATGAAAACAATTTTACTATAGGCTAATTGATATAAATAAGAGTTAAGTTCCTACTGCCTATTTCTGGTCACAAAAATATCACACAATTTTAAATAAAGACCTCTACTATTTACCATTGAAACAAATGTGAGCTATATATACATTTAAGAAAGATGAATTTAAAAAGTAAGATAATTATTTACCCAATTATTCAAGCTCAGAGTCAAGGGAGGCTAAAGCCTGTCCCAGCAGCTCAGGGTGCAAGGCGGGGCCAGCCCTGGACAAGATGCCAGCCATCCCATCTCAGGGCGCACTCATTCATATGCACCCACACTCACTCACACTGCAGCAATTGACCTCATGCATAGATCTTTGGGATGTGGGAGGAAACAGCAATACCTGAGAAAACCCATGAAGGGCTGGGCACGGTGGCTCACGCCTGTAATCCCAACACTTTGGGAGGCTGAGGCAGGTGGGTCATCTGAGGTCAGGAGTCTGAGGCCAGCCTGGCCAACATGGTAAAACCCCATCTCTACTGAAAACACAAAAAATTAGCCGGGTGTGGTGGTGCATGCCTGTAATCCCAGCTGCTAGGGAGGCTGAGGCAGGAGGATTGCTTGAACCTGGGAGGCGAAAGTTGCAGTAAGCCGAGATCGTGCCACTGCACTCCAGCCCAGGAGACAGAGTAAGACTCCATCACAAAAACAAACAAACCAACGAACAAAAAAACCATGCAGATTTGAGGGGAACATGCAAACTCCACACAGGCAGGGGCCCAGGCCTGGAATTGTTTTGTTTTGATTTGTTTTGTTTTGATTTGTTTTGTTTTTCCCTTGTCAATAGTCTAACAAAATGACAATATTTGAGGACCTGCTGCAGCATTCCCCCTTACATCTCCTCCCCACCACCATGATCACCCAAGCTGCTGTAATTAGTCGTAAATGAAGGCAGAAAGCTCATTACTACTCTCCACATTGACATTAGCCCCTGAAATCTTCTGTTTGCCATGGGGTCACATATTTCTTTTGTTTGTTTTACCATAAATCTGATCATGTCTATCACCCAGGTGCATTTTCAAACAAATCAATACCCCATTTTCCTTAAAATCAATATAAAAAGATGCCCCCTTCCTCCTCTCCAGTCTCCTCTGGTGCCACCCCTCTCCTGTGCTCTGGCCACATGGCCTGTCCTCCATTCTCCTCATGGCCTCAGCTCCTTCTCACCAGGCACCCTTTGCACTTTCTGTCCCCACTGCCTAAAACATTTCTTTCCTAGTACTCTCGCCTGCTTGAGGCCTGCTTCTTTCTGGCTCAGCTTAGTCTTCACTGTCTCAGGAAAATCATCTTCATGATTTGGGCTTTCTTAAAAAAGCAAATTTACAACTTACACGCCAGAGAAGACAACTGAAATTTTGCTGATATTAGAGATCAGTAAGGATAAAACCTAGAAAGAAAACAGAAGAGTTCAGGCCCGAAACTTGGGAAACATAACCATTTAAATATAGGATGGATAGGGAGATATAGACAGTGAAGAGAGTAGGGGAAGCCAAAGAACAAAGTTCTCACTCATTTAATTAATCAAAACTTTGCCTGTGATAAATAGATGTTAGCATAGCTTCACATTATTTTTGACTGCTGCCTAATTATCTCCCACTTGTTCTTGTAGAGGAATCACACATGTGACATTGGAGCATCCCTAATTCTGGTTCTACTTTTGAATAGGTGTGTGGTTTCAACTGAGTTGGTTCATCTCTCTGTAATCAGGTATTTACCACCTATGAAGTATCGTTTACCTCATTTTACAAAGGATGAAATACAGAGGAGAGAAGTTGAGCCACATGTGTGAGGTCACAGAGCCAATGACAGGGTCAAGATTGGAACTCAGAAACCAGAGCTGTCCAACCTGAAGTCCAAGCTCTGCACCCTGTTCAGCAGTGCTTCCAAAGAATGACAGTCACTAATCCACTGCTCCATATATCTTCAGAGTGGCAAAAATGACAAATCCAGGCTAGATCAAAGACTTTCAAGGCAATCTGCTCCTTAACGGGGAGTCAAAGATGCTTGCTTTAGCCAGTTTCTGAAATGACCTTAATCCATATTTAGCTAAAAACAGACCAGATACTCTGGGCTTTTCGATCACATTAACATATTTCAACCAATGAGAACAACACCACCCAAGGTAAGGTCCCAGCCAGAGATTCATTCTCCTGTAACAACTGGAGCTTACTGAGAGTGACATAACTAAGAAAGAGACAAAGGAGTCACAGTGTTGCAGCTGTTTTAAGGCCATAGTACGCTGAAGCATGATGGGTTTTCCAGGCACTGGTGAGGACCTTGGGGTGTGGGAGGAGGAGCTATGTGCATGGACTGGCAACATATTGTGGATGCAGGCTAGGGTCCCAAGCTCATTGTCACAGCTGCCTTCCACCTAAGGGGGAAGGTTGGAACTTGGGCTTATTGCCTCCCAGAGGTGGACTTACTGTGCAGAGAATGGAGCCCAGGCTTCAGGGTTCATCTCTTGTTCAACCCTCTAAGGAGGATGAGAATTGATGGGAAATGCAGAGAATTGCAGGTAGAGAGGAGATGCCAGGTTGCAATCAGGAAACTCTCTATGCAAACATGTTTCAATGCATTGCCTAAAAAGAACACAAAAGGAGGACCTGGATCTCCCAGTCTCTGCTAACTTTGGTGAATTCTCTCTGCTTGTAAATTTGTGTTTTTGTTTTGTTTTGTTTTGTTTTTTTTCTTGAAGAGAGCCAAGAAAATGTATAAGCTTTAGGATCCACAGGAGAAGATACCTGTTTTGTGAGTCCTGAAGATTATGACCTTAAGTTTCTCTTTACATATGTCCTTTAAATCTATTGCTAGACAGGTAAGCTAGGGAAGGAAGATACTGCCTGAAATAACATGGTGGTCATGAGAGAATCTTCCTACAGGTTTGATAAAGAGCAGGTACTCTCTCTCCAAAACTCTACAACCATACTTGTTCATTTGGGTGTAGAAAAATGATATAGGACTGAATAATAAGCGTGACTGAGCTCATTAACAAGTATTATCAAGTCTCTGATAATTTACTGTGCAATGTGGACAAAAATGAGTTTGTGTGTGTTTATGCCGCATGTATTTGTGCACATTTTTGTTGATGTGTGTTTGTGCTTCATTTATGGGGTGACTACTGAGGAGAATATTGATTTGTGAGGGAGAGATAGAAAAAAAACAGAGATGTGAAAGAAGGCAAAGAGACAAAGAGAGGGAGACATGATGAGTAGTGGGAAATAAGAGTGGGAAGAAATGACAGAGGGAGGGAGAGTAGGGTGAAAGAAGGCAAGGAGTTCAGGAGACACAGGGTTTTCTAATCACCAGAATCAAGGTCATCTTGACCGACTTAAGAAATAAAGTTATTAATTTTTTTTAAGTCTTACAGTGGTCTAAACAAAATGATTCTCAGTAAAGTACTCTCTCTTCTTGTCACTTGGGCTCCAAAGGGGAGTGGTGGAGGATGCCACATGTTGCAGCTTTTTTGTTTTCTTTTTTTTTTTTTGAGACAGAGTCTCTCTCTGTCGCCCAGGCTGGAGTGCAGTGGTGCGATCTCGGCTCACTGCAAGCTCCGCCTCCCGGGTTCACGCCATTCTCCTGCCTCAGCCTCCTGAGCAGCTGGGACTACAGGCGCCCACCACCACGCCCGGCTTATTTTTTGTATTTTTAGTAGAGACGGGGTCTCACCGTGTTAGCCAGGATGCTCTCGATCTCCTGACCTCGTGATCCACCCGCCTCGGCCTCCCAAAGTGCTGGGATTACAGGCGAGAGCCACCGCGCCCGGCATGTTGCGGCTTTTTAAATTCTCATTTCACATTTTTGATGAATGTGTCCCAGAAAGGCCATTTCTGCCAATGGCAAAGTTTCTTTATGTTTTGGAATGTGCCTTCCAGCAGTCACACAAAATCTCACCCTGCAAATTGCTGGGGAGCTTTGGAATTTTGAAGTAAAGAAACCATAATTGGTAGTAAGTTTGGGTAGCAAAATTGAACTGAAGAACCAGGAAAATAAAGTACTAAAAATTTATTCTGTGTCCAACCCAAGAAAATGATTACTTTTAGAAAACTGCGCATTGCCCCAAAGCACCTTAGTACTGGGACTAGTCTTCAAATATCTCAACTTCACAGTTACTTTGTTATTTCTGATTATTATTATTATTATTATTATTATTATTATTATTATTACCATCATAAATGGCTGACTAGTCCAAGTTACTTACCTTCATTTTTGCTTATTACTGAAACTCCCTAACTGCTCCTTCATATTTATAGGATGGCAGACTTTCAATTTGCAACATACAATATTTGGATCAAACAATACACATCTCTGATTCTACTTGCACCAATATCTAATATCATCATGGTGATTATAGGTGACGATGGTGGTGATGATGGAAAATAAAGAAGAACGAGGAGAAGGGCCTCTGATTGATTTCTTGAGCATTTACCGACTTTAACAGCAGTTCCCAGATGGGAAGTAGCATAGCTGAGCCTTAAATTCATGCCCTTCAGGATCTGTGGCTCTCACCAATATCATGAGGCTAAACTCCCACCAGAAAATAGAGGCAATCTATAATGTAAAGGCAGACAATTCCCAAATTCATACTCGTTTCCTTCTACTTGTGAAAGCATAATTTTTTGTTCATCCTAAGGTCACCAGAGCCTTCGAGATAATCTGGCACATGAAAGGTACTCAGTCCTTGTTTCCTGAATGAATTATTCAGTGGACGCAACAGCTGCTGATGGAGGCTCAGAACGCTTCTCAGTCTCTACACAGAGCATGGAAACTTGGTCCTAAATATGAACTTACAGATCTCAACTGTTTGCTCTGGCCATTCCTAATAATAGACACATCAAAATATTATATTAAGATTACAGTGTTTGATATTTTCAAATTGGGGTAAATTTGGCCTGTATCTAGCAGGAACAACTCCAATCTAATAATATGCAGACTCATGACTCATAGGGGAATATGCAGGCTTGACTCATCAAGGGGAAGGCCAAATCCTTATTTCTTGTGGAAATCTCATTGGTTACAAAATACATTAAAAATATAGAATCTAAGAGGGTAATAAAATCAGATTTCCCAACAATGAAGCATACTAGCCACATTCAGGATCATTTAAGAGTGGTTATTATTGGCTCTCTGTAGTACTGAGAAAGCCAACTGTATCATAAATAGTTCTGCATTTCCAGAGAACCTAGCTAATTTTAGACATTCTGCCAGAAGTTCATCTCTGCCTCAAAGGGCTTTGAAAATAAAAGTAAAGGCAAACAGGCAAATAAAAGTTAAAAAGGAGAGGGTGCGGGCAGAGAAGAAGAGGGAAGAGGAGAAGAAAAGAGAAAGGAAGAAAGAAAATAAGGGAGGGAGGGAGGAAGCTGGTTTAATTTTTCACTTCCTTGATATTGAAAAACTGCGTTGGTGAGCAAGAAACTGACGTATAAATTTAGCTCCTGTATTATTTTCACTGATATATTTCTATTGCTTAGCAAATTTCTACAAAAATTTTGGAATGTTGTCAGCTTTGCATCTAAAATTTTCCTCATGCCTGTGGGTGTATGCATACATATGTATAAACATGAAGTTATCTGAGATGTTACTGCTAGAAGGGCTCTTGAGAGCTGTTCTTGGGGTGAACAAAGAGTTACTAGCAGAATCATGAAGTCTGCTCATGTTCCTGAATTCTGGCTTCCCAAGGTCCAAGTAACTGTTGGGAGCACACACACAAGAGGATTCTGACATTCTTGACAAGGAGTAAGACTTAATATCACTTGGCTGGGGGTGCCCCAGGGTAGATGGTATACTTTCACCTCCTCTCAAGTCTTCCTCTCTTTAATTTTATTCTCCTCTCCTTTCGTCATTATCTCAGGCCTGTGAGTTAAAAAAAAATTAGCTTTCCTTCCAGGCAGTATCTCTGTGTAAAGCCTTTTGAGCACCGCACTAAAGACTACTTAGAGTCAACGGGTACTTTGGGCAAATTATTCCACTGTTGAGATATCCAAATCACAGCTGGAAAAAAACACATTAACATCAGATCGCTAAGCCCTGCTCCTGGTGCTGGAGACATCATTCTTCACATCTGCCTCACACCCGAGGCATGAAAGAGCCACATCTGGGCAGTGTTTACACTCAGAACCATGGTACTGCCTCAGGGTGGTGCCTGTTTCAGTAAACCGACAAAAATCTCTGTGTGCCACCTAGAGAAGAGTTGGTTATGAGAATCATATCACAACTCTTCCAGCTACCTTTGGGCTTTAGGTTATGTTTTGACCACTCCTGAGTTCAGAGGACTATAGTCCCTCATTTTTGTGTCAGTGTTGGAACCCAAGGTGAGGAGAATGGACGTAGAGGCAGGGGCGCTCTGCTGTGGACCCCAGTCAGAAACACAGAACTCTGCTTCTTTCAACTTAAATCAGGTGCTGTTCAAACTCCCAAAGATGGAAATGAGGTTTGTGTAGAATCACTGTTGCATTAAAGTTTCTAGACGATGTGCAAGTACCCTACTACACTCTGTATATATAATGTATCATGCATTTATTAAAGTCATCTCACAAATATTTATTACCATATCCAAGTATAAAAATGAATAAACACATGGCTGGAATACGAAGAATAAAGTGTTCTATTTTCAGATTACCTCTGGAAAAGCAAACTGAGCAACAGGAAGCCATGATTGGATTTAACAGTGGAGGATAAAGGGTCAGAATTGGGATAGAAGTCAGATCTGCAGTTTGTAAAGAACTCTAGCCATGGTGGGAAGAGGATTCAAGGGATTAACCATACGGCAATGTCAAAATGGAAATTATTCAACATTCGTCCAGAAAATTATAAATGGTAACTTGGGCTATGGTGGTGGAAATGGAGATGAAAGTGAAATGGATGGATCTGAGAGACAGAAAATCAATTTTTTTTAGATGCAAATAAGGGAAAGAGTAGTGTCAGAGGGAAGGCTGAGGATTTCAGACTATGGAACCTGATGGGAATAGGGTCTCACTCTGAGAAGCATACCTGGAAAATAATCAGGTTAAATGGGATAATTGACATTTTAATTGTGGACAAGTTGAATTTAATTTTCCATTAAGACAGTCAAGGGAAGGAGTTATGAACATCTATATCTCTCTGGAGAATTTTGAGCTATAATAAAGGTTTGAAGACTTGCTCACATAGATGATAAAGAATAGCACCAAGGGAGAGAATACAGAGTAATTTATGAAGGGGGCCTGAGAACATAAGCAGAGGCTCTCCAGCAACTGATGGCTGAGAAGAAAAGGCTCAGCTTGCAAATGGATCTGTAAAGAAGTAGTAGCCATTGGGAGGCAAAGGCGGGTGGATCACCTGAGGTCGGGAGATCGAGACCAGCCTGACCAGCCTGGCGAAACCCTGTCTCTACTAAAAATACAAAAATTAGCTGGGCATGGTGGCACATGCCTGTAACCTCAGCTACTCTGAAGGCTGAGGCAGGAGAATCGCTTGAACCTGGGAGGTGTAGGTTGCAGTGAGCCGAGATCGCGCCACTGTACTCATCCTGTGCAACAGAGTGAGACTGTCTGAAAGAAAAAAAATGAAGTAGTAGCCAGATAATTGGAGCAAAGCTAGTAGAGTGGATGCCCAGGGAAAAGAAAAGTCACCACAGAGAGGGTGGGTTCAATGGGTAAAATATTGTTGAGATTTCATGTGAAATAAGCACTCAGAAATGTTCTTCGCACTCTGTTATGTGGAGGTGCACTGAAGTTCCTGAATTGATGGGCCAAGGAATCTAAGCAGGATAAAGAAAGAAAGGAAAATGTTAAGGTTGCTGGTATGGTATTAAAAAAAGAGGGATCAAAGGACTAAAGATGCTTATGAGGTTAATAAAAGATCAAGGTAGGTATTACTGAATAAACCAGTCATGAGGAGACAAAGTTTTCTGAGAGCACAGCAATGGAATTAGTACAGAGTTGATGATTAGATCCAAAGTGTGATCATGAAAGTGGGTGGATATGATGAAGTGGAAGAAAAAATTACTGGAGATGAGACCGTCAAGGTCATGGGTAGAACTGGGATAATACCAACATTTTAATAAAAGATGGTGTCTACAAAAAATTGTTGATGATAATAAGCAGGCTAGGATGAATTGTGATATGTTGTATCTCAAAGAATAACACTATTGTTCAAGAACTGAAGAAGTACGTGCTATAGGAAGGGCTTGAGTAATCAGCAGGATATCAAACCTACTTTCAGAACATGAGGAACAGAAGGGGCACATAGAAATCAGCCTTCTCTGAAGAAGGTCAACAAGGTGCAATCAGGTTTCAGGAACGGGATGGAGCAAACAATCAGAACAATGGCTGGGAATGAAAATAGAAGGATATTCATCAAATATGGAGCTGAATTCCATGTATCATGATGGAAAACTGAAAAAGGGAAATAATGGACATCATCGTGAGAAGGCGGAGAATATGGATCATGAGCTGTAGAGTATTGATGAAAAGAAAATGAGATACTAACACTTTGTTAGTCAGCATTCAGTGACAAAAATTAGAATGAGAGACCTGGTTGTGGTGATCTTTGTGGTCTCTTCAACTCGAGGCTGTGATTCCTTTGTCACTGATTTCTGGCCTCACTAATGACTAGTTACTGGACCATCATGGAGTGAAAGCTGGACGGTGGGAGTGCATGCTGTGGGAACACGGATGACAGCGACCCCAGAGACTATTGCTCATACTCGGCCATCATGTGCCTCATTGAGAAGCTGAGAAAGTTATGAAACATATTCCATCAAATTTTATGAGTTCATGGACCCCCCTGAAGACCCTCCATCCATAAGCCTCAACTTAATTACCATGGTCCGCATTATTAAGACTAAACCCCAAGCTGCTTAACTTTGTTGCTAATATGATAACTTTAAATAGCTTGTGCCTAGTGGGCTTGGGACACATTCCCGGCAATAATTAATCTGGATGAAACCAATCTTCCTATTAATTAAGAAATGCCTTTTCCCCAATAATTAAAAGAAAATCTTCATTAGCAAATTGTTACTAATCTACCACTGATGAAAACAGTCTCGGAAGTGTGTGTCTCAAATGTTTCACAGCTTACTAGATTTATTGGCAGGATATCTACTTTTTAATCAGCTAGTACTAAAGAGAACTGATGGACAGGATGAAACTCATGGAGGAGAGGAGGTGGTGCAGAGAGTAATGACAGAAATTGTATGGCAGTATTATTTAAACTATTTATTGTTTATTAGCTCCAAGTTTGAATCAGCCCCAGTACAATTGTCACCACAGTGTAATGATATATATTATGGACATACAAATTCCTTTTAGAAGCATGGGGGTAAAGGTGTAAGAGAAAAGCAGATTTGAACACATTAAATATCAAACTGTAAGCCTGGGGCTTTCTTACTCCCACCACATGAAAAGCCTCCCCAAAGAGTAGACATACCATGGGTCAGCATAATAAGGCTGCCCAGTTCGTTGATCCAAGCTTCCCATAAACGTTACATTCAACTGTGGTCAGTGACCTAACAGGTCAGTTGGCTTGGATGTGTTTCCTGAATCAGGCAATGCCTCTTGCCATTGGTTTTTCAAACTCCAGATATAATTTGGGAATTGAAGGCTTACTATAAATGCACCCATTATTGATGGCCAACCTGAAGCAAGTGGAAGGTTGGCTGTAACCTCAAGTATCTTCTTACAAACCTGATATTTCTAGTGTTTGTGCTAATATCATTTTCTAGTGTTTGCAGCAGTGCTCATGTCCTCCCTTGACAAGAACACATCACCCCAAAGCTGCAAACACTTGATGAGCTATTGACATTATTGAAGTTCTCGCTGAGCTCAGGGCACACTGTGTTTTCAAAAAGGTCAGTGAATACCATCTTTTTTACTCCCTGTTGATTGATGCTAAGGCTTGGTGATCCTAGAATTCTCCTTCCTCCTTTGCTAACTCCTTAGGTTTGGATATGTGCTTATGAGGCTATTGTTAAAAAAAGATACCCAGATAGGTTATAGCTCTCCCTCACATCCCTTCACAGTCCTTTTCAGATCTACATTCTCTGCACACCCTGGTGCTTTTGTTTGTCTCATACAAAAATTAGAATTCTAATTGACTTATGCAATTAAATCCCAGGAAACCTCAATGGCAGATGAATTCAGACAACCTCAGCCCCTGCTTAGACTCAAGCTGTGACTCCTGTGGTCCATGCCATAACAGATGTTCCTCTGGGAAAACTGTCAGTTGCCATTGACTGACTCTGTGAGGACCTTGGTTCAGTTCATTTATCTCTTTGAGACTCAGTTTTCAATGGGAATAATTATACCTTTTTGCTCAGAGACTGCTAGTTACCTATCCGATATTATTCTCCTTTCTTGGTAAGAGAACATGGTTTTTTATTTATAATGGCAATGAGTACATCTAATCATCTAAGAGATTTCAGATAGAAGTCATGAAATGGGCTTCAAGAAAGGCTCTTTTTACCCCATGTTGTCTTTTTCTTCTTCCTACCTGGAATACAGTTACATCGGCTGGGGCTCTAGTAGCTGTCTTGTAACCTTGAGGATGGAAGCCTCATGCTAGGGAGGACAAGGTATAAAGTTAAAAGAACCATGTGGCCTCAAAGGTTTTATGGAGCCTTTATACCTGCTGTTGACTCTTACCTCAGGTTCTAATTATTTGAGGGAGAGATGTACTTCTACCCTGCCCAAGCTTTTTTGGTCAAGTCAAGAGGATCTAAATGTTATGCTCCCTCCCAGAGGTGGAGGGGGCCTTAAACCTGGGAGTTCATGTGAAAATGCTAGTGCAGTAGCTGGGCACTGGCACTTGGCACATATCCATTCCCTTGCTCTGTAGCTTCAGCCTGGCTCTTCTGAATTGTCCATGTGGCTATTTGAACTATGATTGACTGTCTGTCTCTGGTACTGAGGGCTGAAGTTGTTTCCTGTGTGGTTTTGAGACAAATACCTTGATAATTTCAAGGACTGCTCTTTGTGTCTAAGCATCTTTTAGAGGATAGGATACCCCAGACCTTCTATTAATTATAAATACAATCTGTGAATTGGCTCATGAGAATTCATGATTTTTTTTTTTTTAAAAGAGTCTGTTTGAGCCTTGCTGATGACTTTAAAAGTTTTCTAAAGCAGAGTGTGATTATACCTGGTGGACAAACAGTCCAAAGCCTGCAGGGCACTTCTTGCCCCCAACCCACACCCTACTTCGTGAGTTGCTTTGTATTCATATATAAAAGTCACTTTAAAAACACAACAAAAGATATGAAAGAAAAGAAAAGAGACAGCCAGGACAGCAAACAATATGAATCTATTACTTTAGAAGAAGAACTATTCACGTACAGCAAACGTGACATCAATATCGCCAACAATGGCAGGGGCATTTGGCTTTGGGCTCTCTTTCCTGGCTTGTTATAATCAGGGCATTGGGAGGAAGAGATGCTTGTCCTCAAAACCCTCCATGAGAACTAGGTCCCCACCCCCAGCAGATGGGAAACAGCTTCACCACTGATGAGGCGTCTGTAGATCTGAGTTTGTTAGATCAAAGGCATGAAGCTTTAATGACCCAAGGGTCTCTGTTTAATGTATTCATTTGGAGCATCTGTTCTTGCTCTTTATCCAAACAAACATTTGATTAGTGCTTGCGTTTTGTGTTGGATAGCAACCCAACCTCAGCAGACCAACCTAGACCACCTCAGCAGACCACTGGGACTTTTATAATCATGAATACATAAATACGCCACACACATGGTCTTAGCTCTGGCTACAGACTTATCATCATTGATCACCTGCCCAACAGCACACAGGCGTGCATGTGCACACGCACACACGCATACACACAAACACACACACACACACAAATATACCAGAGTACCAATAATAGAAAGGCACATAATAATTTTAGTAGCCCTATGAAATGGCACAGTAATAGGGAGGTAAGTAAAATAAAATTACTTAAAACATATGCCTCTCTGTATATATATATACATATTTGTGTATGTATTTAATATCACATATGTAATATTACTTATATATACTTGTTACAATATATAATAGACATTCTATATATTTAATATGCTGTTTATATATTTATATGTGTACATTATATTAAAATATATATGTGTGAGTAAGGGTGTATATTCAGGGACTGGGGAGAAGGCTGTTTTCCTCAATAGAATTCAGTCTCCATGAGAGAGGACTTGAGTTAGTTTGTGTGTTGGTTTGCTGTAACTACTGTATCCTAGCTCCTGAAACAATGCCTAGGATATAGTAAGAGCCCAGTGAGTAATTGTCAGACGAGGGAATAGTAAATATTTAAGTAAGAACCTTCAGCAATTAGCATATGATCTGGTATACAGGAAATGCTCAGTAAATATTTGTCAAAGGAATTAATGTATGCCTGCATGATTTAGGAAAAATAGGTTCTTAATTTTCACTATATACAGATTAACATATTAACAGTAAATCCATCTGACTTACATAAATAACTTAGAAAAAATAGGATATGTTCTAAAAATGGAAGAGGGAGGACATTGAAAATAAAGGAGGGAGGACATAAAAAAACAACGATAGCTTAGCCTGGTCAGTTTTCTTACTAAGAAAACTACAGACCATTCTCTGTCCAAGTAAAATAAAATTAAACTGATAAGAAGTGAACCGTAAGCAAAATATATTATTAATAAATTGACAGAAAAAGAATGGAGAGCACTCTACATGAAACTCAAACAGTTAGAAAAAAATAACAGGAACGCAAGAGATAATTGGGTAAAGATCCTGAGCAGAAATCTCAGTACGGTTCCATGTAAAATTTATTTTTATCTGAAGTTTAGCTGTGAAGAGATGGTTGGTAGTCAAAATTACTCTGAAATTTATTCTAACACTGCAATTATCTGGCTATTAGCACTGCCACTTTACATTAATGTCTTTAATTTCACTTGCAAAAGCAATTTTAATGTCCACCAAACTTTCCTAAGAAAACAGCATTTCACCAAATCTATGCATTAGACATTTCAAAGGAAGAGTGAGTCACTAACAGCATGACTACAGAGATTCAGCTTTCATCAAGTGTTCCAATAAACTGTGAATTTAGGGGGCCAAATGTTTTAACACTGTCAAGAAAACACTGATAATGAAAAAATAGCAAACCTGGAGGCAGCTGGGCAATTTATTTTATCTATTGCAGTAGTCACTTTATTTCTTTTCTTTCCAGTTTTTTTTTTTTTTTTTTTTTTTTTTTTTTTTTTTTTTTGAGAGGGAGTTTTGCTCTTGTCGCCCACACTAGAGTGCAATGTCCCGGTCTCAGCTCACTGCAACCTCCGCCTCCCAGGTTCAAGTGATTCACTTGCCTCAGCCTCTGGAGTAGCTGGGATTACAGGCAACCACCACCATGCCCAGATAATTTTTGTATTTTTAGTAGAGATGGGATTTCACCATGTTGGCCAGGCTGGTCTTGAACTCCTGACCTCAGGCGATTTGCCCGCCTCAACCTCCCAAAGTGTTGGGATTACATACATGAGCCATTGCACCCGGCCGTCACTTTATTTCTAACAGTGTCCTCCTTTAGCAACTGTGGGCATCTTATATGACCAGTGCTACCAGTCCCAACAGTCCAGTAATAACAGAAGAAAAGGCAACCATTGGAAGATGAGAGGCATTGATGGCATTGCCATTACTAGAGTCATTCATGGTAAATAAGATATGGCAAACTTACCTCTGAACCTATTAAAACAACAACTGATTTTTTTTTTCTTTAGAATATTTTTCTTTGGTTTTCTGTTTTGCTTTGTTTTGCTGGAGACGGAGTCTCGCTCGCTCGCTCTGTTGCCCAGGCTGAAGTGCAGTGGCACGATCTTGGCTCTCTGCAACCTTCACCCCCATGTTCAAGTTATTCTCCTGCCTCAGCCTCCTGAGTAGCTAGGACTACAGGCAACCACCCCACTATGCCCAGCTAATTTTTTGTATTTTTAATAGAGATGGGGTTTCACCATGTGGCCTCGAACTCCTGACCTCAAATTATCAAATATCCTCCCAAAGTGCTGGAATTACAGGCGTGAGCCACCATGCCCAGCCTAGAATATTTTAATGTGTGTAAAAGTTTAAAAAAAAATTGCAGAGACAGCTATACTACTATAATTGCATCCGGGACTATCATGTAGAAAGTCCAGACAAGTATTTCTCCAGGCTTTTGATGATTTTCTGTGAAATATTTTAATGATGGAAGAAAATATCTAGACAAGGCACTTGCCATTGTTTGGGATAATTCTAAAATATAACCTTGATTCACGATTGTTCCATTTGCAATGTTTATTATATTTCTTTCCTTATGTCTCCGGTAATAAATCCACTCCCAGATTTCAAAGATTACTTGAGCTCAGAATAATGAAATCAGTGAATTTGTACTATCTAGAACAAGCCATTAATGTTTGAAATTCCATTGTCAAAGAGTCAACAATTATAGCCTCCTCATTCCCATTTAGCATTTCCCAGCTTTATTTAAAAATAAAAACTGTAAAGCCTATTTATTCTCTTCCCCTTCAAAATGGCATAGCTAACATATACTTCCCATGTGAAAAATGATTGAAAAAAGTATCCCTTAACAGTTTTATCTAGGTTTAATTCATAAAATAAACTGCACATATTTAAAATGCAAAAAATAATAAATTTTAATGTGAGTATACATCCATGAAATCATGAACCTCAATCACAATAATGAAAGTATGCCTCACCCAAAAAGTTTCTAACTATTCCTATTTAATCTCTCCCGCCCCCACTTCCACAGTCCCCTTTCCCTGGCAACCACTAATCGGTTTTCTATTATAGATTAGTTTGTATTTTTTAGTGTTTTCTCTAAATGGAATCAATTAGTACATACTCTTTTTTTTTTCTGGCTTTTTTACTTTGCATAATAATTTTGAGATTCACAATTCTGAATAGAAGTGGTAAATATGAACATATTGTCTGAATCCTGATCTTAAGGAACAAACTTCTAATTTTAACTAAAAAGTATATTTAATGTAGATTTTTCATAAATGCCATTTACTGAGAAAGTTGTCTGCCATTCCTACATTCCCAAGAGTTTTTTGTTTTTCTATCAGGAATGAATGTTGGATTCTGTTAAATAAGTTTTCTCATTTGAGATGGTTATATGTTTTATTATAGTTAGTACATATACTGAATTACAATGATTAATTTTCAAATGTTAATTTACTTTTGTGTCTCTAAGATAAATACTTGTTTGATTATGATGCAATATACTTTTCTATATAAAGTGTGGCTGGATTTAATTTTCTAAATAATTAAGGACTTTTGAATTTATGTTCATGGAAAATATTGGTTTATGTTTTTATTTTCTTGTAAAGTCTTTGTCTGGTTTTGGAATCAAGGTAATGCTTGACCTTAGAATTAGTTAGATAATATTTCCTTCTTTAAATATCCTGGAAGAGTTTGTGTAGAATCAGATTTTCTTTTGTTTCATTTCTTTTAAATGTTTGGCAGACTTCAAAAGTGAACCATGTGAGCTTAGAGGGATTTTTTTTTTTTTCTGTGTATGTGTAAGCTACTTAACACCATATTCAATTTCTTTTCTAAATATCAGGGTATTTATCTTATCTATTTTTTCATGAACGAACTCTAGTAGTTTGTATCTTTAAGGTCTTTGTCCATTTCATCAAAGTTGTCAAATTCTTTGACATAACGTTTTTCATAATAGTTCCTGTTGTCTTTTCAATGCCTATAGAATGTAGTAATTTTACATCCTTCATTTGTAATGTACAGTTGTGACAGTTTTTTTTTTCCTTTTTTCTTGCACAAGTGTTAGCCTGTATTTCCCCAGGGTGAATATAGTCTAACCACTAGCCCATGATTAGCACTGCAAGTTACACAACTTGCAGCTTTGTCTTTACAAAAATGACATTGTTTTCTAATTTGCACAAAGCCATCACCATGGGCTACCAATAAACTTATCCCTTCAAGATATCTCAGATTAAAGTACAAACTGATTCATAATTACTTGAAAATAATATTGACATCTAAAAAAGAAAAAATAAGTAAAAACAGGAGAGAAGAAAAAGAAAATCAGCAACTCAAAGTAAGGTACTTGACTAGCACTCCCTGTATCTCAAACATTGATATATATTCTTGACATCAAAATGGAAAACAAAACAAAACCCCTTACCTGATGGAGCTGACCTAGACAGAACAGAGAGAGAGGTGATAAACAATATACATAAAATAAATAAATGCTATATTATATAGAATGTGATCGGTGCTATGTAAAAAATAAAGAGCCAGAGAGAGTGAAAGAGCAAAGTATGAGGATTTCAAGGTAGGCATCAAAGGCTTTTCTAAGGTTGGTCTTGGTTAGTTTTACCAAGAAGGTGGTAACTGAATTAAAACCTGAAAGAGGTGAGGAAGTAGGAATTGAGATATACGGGTGTGTGGGGAAGCCTGCCTGGCATGTTGGAATGAGAGCTTGGAGGCCAGCGTGATGAGGGGAGGAGAGCCAGAGACGAGAGAGAAGAGAGCCACATAGGTTGGCAAGGTGGGGGCAGGGCAGATCTTGAGACCCTACATCATGACCTGGCTTAAGTTTTAAAGAGATCTTTTATTTTCCAATTTTGAGGGGGTTGTTATAAAATAGATATATGAGGCATGATGTGACAGATAAGAGGGGGCATGTCTTAATGTTTTAGATCCGCCTTCTCCTCCATGACTGCTGATGGAGAAGCAACCTTTCTTACCAGCAGCTTCCAGTCCCTTGCTGGACAGGTACCAGGCAGGGCTGAGATGCAAAGACAGAGGCTTAGACCTGGGCAAATGGTTCAGACAGGTGGATTGCAGCAAAAGAGAATGGGAAATGAGGGCTAGAGAACTAAAGATTTGGGAAGGGGAAAAACAGGAGTGGTTCTTTAGGAAAAGGAAAGGATATGTAAAGAAAATGACCCTATAAAGTTTCACTACAATTTGTTTGATATGATTTCCATTCTCAGGACATTCAAGAAAACCTAAAGTGGACACCTATGTAATTGGTTTAATGCTTTTCTATTTTCAAATTTGGTATTTATTTGATGCAATCATATTAAAATGTACTCTGAGGCATTCCAGCATGTGGAGGTTACTACCAAAAAAAAAAAAAAAAGAAAAAAGAAAGAAAGAAAGAAAAGTAAGAGATCACCAAAGTTCTTGTAATATAAGTGATAGGGATTATGTAAAGATTTTTCAATATATTGCTCAATTTTTTTGTCTGTTGCCAATGCAGTTATTTATTTTAACTTGTGTAATTAAAAAAATCCCTTTTCAGCTGAAAAGTAATACATGAACTTGTTTAAAAGCTTAAAATTGCACCTGCCTTCTGCATTAGATGCTCTCCCCAGAGGCAAACAGTTTTAACAGTTTCCTGACTATCCTTCAAGAAACTACTTTTAGATATTAGTTGGAACTCTATGAGAGTCCCTTTTCTTTAGGTTAAAAATGTCAAATATCAGTAATTTCAGAGTGCAAACTAATACAAGGTCATATGTGTGTTTATTAAAATGAATGAGAAAATTTTACAAAGATGTCCTGACATCTTGTTTGTGTGTGTTTAGTCCTATATCTACATCTCTTTGATATAATTAATTCCAAAGCAGTATATATAGATTTATATTATGCTTGCTAATAGTCACATAATATTCTGTTTTATGGACACATGATAATTGATCTAGTTCTTAGTGATGAGCTTTTAGATTGTTTTTGAGATTTTCTTTCAAACAATACTGTAATCAGCATTACTGCTATCAACACATGTAAATAGATATGTAGGATAAATAGATATGTAGAAGTAAAATTGCTCCATTAATTTCTTGCAGTTTTTACTAAATTTGTCTTAAGGATATCTTACTCCCTTTCCCAGAGTAGAGGAGGGTATCTGTATCTCCACATTCTTCCAATCCCGTGAACAACTGTCAATTGGATGAAGGAAAATTCATGTCTAATTATGTTAATGTTCCACACCCGAAAAAAAGAAGTGTGCATTTTTCATGTGTGTTTGCATAATCTGTTTCATGTACTTAAAAATATCCTATTGTTTTTATTGATCCTTTGATTTTCAGTTTTAAGTATATTTCTATGAATTTAGAAAATTAATGCTTATTTGTTGCAAAGATGTTTACTACAGGTTGTCATTTTTTCTTTTGTTTTTTAATGCCATTTTTTACTGTAGAATATTTTTAAATGTGACAATTTTATCCTTTATTTTTCATTAAGAAAGTATACAAATCATTTTATTTTGTCTTCGTGTACTTTCACTGTACTATTTCTAACACGAAAATCCTTGATCCATTTGGAATTTATTCTGATATATAAGAAATAAGACAGTATATCATTTTAAATGAAAAACCCATTTTATTTAATATATTTTATATAATAGTTAAGGCAAATAAAACTTTCTCAGTAAAATAAACTGTGTACTACTGATTTAGACAATAATTTGCTTTCAGAGTCAATATAAAATTGTTTATAATTTTTAAAACTTCAGAAATTGTACCAATAATATATTTTTGGTGGGAGATACGTATAACACTTTAAAAATATATCAAAAGGCAAACTTCTATGTTACCTGAAGATTCAGCCACCAAGGAAGGTTTCTTTCCACGGAGAAGAATTATTTCCTATAATGTTTATCTTTAACATATCATTTATTACATTGCTGTATAAATTTCCCTAGCTGTCTCTTTAATAGATTCTGAAATCCTTGGAAAAAGAATCATATTTTATTTACCTTGATATCAACAGAAAAAAGTTATACAATACAGGAAAACAATTAATATATAATGAAATAACTAATGATGAGACTTTCGAACAGGCATGTTTAACAATGTTCATTCACTTATTAATTATTTGTGCTGTGCACACATTTAGAAGAAATCTAAGATGACTATATAATAATAGCTTTTTGCTTTATACATTAAGCATTTCTGTGTGTCTGGGAGTAATTTTGTTTTCAAAGATTACACATTGCATGCTGTAGGGATAGAATAACTGCTATTTCTGAATTATTTTTAACCCAAGGTTTATATTCCTGCTCATTTTATTGGAAAATGACACCAAGATATATTCAGAAGACTGAACACTACACAGTCAGTGAGCACACAACCCTCTTTATTTTAAAATGATTTGCATGGAATCTTAACTACCTGCCAAAAAGCCTGCAATGAGAGATAAAATTCTTGAGAATAGTAAAATGTGTTTTAAATCCTCTCATTCAACATAGCTCCTTCAACCTTCACTTAAGAGGGAAAGGGGTCATGTCCAGCCTATCACCATGATGTATTCACTTACGGTCGCATCCCATGCAACCCCAGGAAAAAAAATGGTATTTCTAGCTCCATTTCACAAGCCCCCAAAAAACTGCACAAATAATGTAGTGCTCTTGTCTAACTGCTCTGTGCAGCTTACTTTTCAGCTACAAATTTTGGCTGCCACAGAGTCTCGTTGAAAGAAAAGACACCCGCAGTAGTACGTAATCTCTGGCTTTGCACCCCCCTGCCACCTAGAAGTGTATGTGTGTGGCATTTCTAAAAGCTGAAGCTTCTAGTCCTCTTGTTCCTGTGATTGTGTACTGTAGCTCAGTAAATCCTATTTATCCCAACTTGATGAGGCCCTCGCTCTTATGGCACAGCTCATCGCCACTTTATTTATTCCTTGCAGCTATTCCAAACCATTGCCCTTCCTCTGCTGCTTTCCCCCTCTGTTCCTATTACTTTCACTCTTGGCAGGATTATGGTGATCCACCCCCACCACCTTTGTTTTTTTTTTTAAAAAAAAACCTGAACTAGTTGTATGAGAATGGATCCCTTTTCTCATCTTCCAAATATGTGTGTCTTATCAATATAATTCCCTTTCATCTCTGAGGCCTTACAAGAAGAAATGTCCTCTCTACAGAATCAAGTTCTTTCATTTTCTCTTGGGACTTGTTAGTCAAATGCAGAATCTGCAGCCCCTCAATCTGCATTTCCACAGGCTCTCCAGGGAGTTTGCATTCAGTCACATTTGCAGAACATCAGCCTCAACTTCTCTTCTTTGAGCCCTCCACTAAAGTTTACAAAGATGACAGCATCATCTCTAACATACCTTGCTTCTATCCTGGTAGCTTCTCTATTTATCACCTACTCACTTCACTGTTCAGTTTGTAAATATGCAACTTCTGTTTTTCTTTACTTACTGATTCCATAAGGCCTTGCTGCCTCATTCAGCACTCTTAATTATTCCTGGAAATCTTGACAGTTACCAGTGTCTTTCTGCCAAGAGGTATGAAACATGTAAGTTTCAGCTTTAACAAGCCACTTGTTATAATCATCACTAATTGAGCTTTGGTAAGTCTCATGAACTATGATAATAAAATATACTTTACTGCCCAACATGCTATTTAGCAGAAATATTTATTCATGTTCTGTCTGTCCCTCTTATGCCCTCCAAATACCAGCCTGATTTGGTTACTTAAAATATCTACTCCAACCCTAGAGAAACATTTTGGGGGCTGTATTAGTTATTTATTGCTGCATAAATAACCCAAAACTCAGCAGCTTAAAACAACACATTTATTATCTCACACACATTTGAAAGGTCAGAAATCCTGGAGCAGATGAACTGAGTGGCTGTGGCTCAAAATCTCTCATGACATTGATGGGGACAGGAGGAAGAGAAATTCTAGGCAGACAGGGGTGGGTCCCTGTCAAAGCCCCACCCTCAAGCCGAAAAACCTGAGACTAGCTCAAAGTGAGAACTGACATCCCTGTTTTCCTGCTTGAATGTTGCCTTTTCCAAAACCACCCATGGCCTGCCCTACCTGACATCCTCTGCCTATAAAAACCCCAGGCTCAGCCAGCAGAGAGAAGAGAAGCAGCTAGATGTTGGAGGCTACAATTGGGGAGAGGAGAGAAGCAGCTTGACTTCAGAGGGAAACCTTGAGGGCCTAACTTCTGAGATAAATCCATCTGGAGATGGCCAGTCTTCAGGGGAAGATTATCTTCCCATCTCGTCTGTCCCCTTTTCAGCTCCCCTTCCTGCTGAGAGCCACTTTCATTGGCAATAAAATCCCCCTCATTTACCATCCTTCAATTCATTCGTGTGACCTCCATTCTCCTAGATGCTAGATAAGGGCTCAGGAGCCAAGAGTGTGGATACAAAAAGGCTGTCACACTGACCCTTTGCCCTCACCGGTGGAAGGCAGCTGCCTCTGCGGCTTCATGGGTTGCAGGCACCCCCTCCAGGTGCTGCTGCAGGGCCCACAATGGAGTTCACTCCTGCTGGCACCCTAAAAGCGCTCATCCTGGCTCCTGCACCAACTCACCTGCATGCTTCCTCCCACCAGGGGCAGATCACAGCAGGTCCAAGTGAATGAAGTTCACCCCTGCTGGTGCCAAAGCAGCTGGCTAGTTCTAGCACCTCTGCACTCCAGTTCCTGCCTCACTCACTTGTGTGCTTCCTCCCACAAGGAGTCAAGAACTGTGGGTTGAGTAAATGAGGCACTCCCTCTGTGAGTCCCGTGAAGAGGTCAGGGAAATATCCTGCCTCAATGTTGCAGTCCAAATGTCAACTGGGATGCAGTCATCTGAAGGCTTGACTGGGACTGAGCAGGTTTCTTTACCTTGGAACTACTGATATTTGGGGATGAATATATACCTCATATATCTATGAGGCCAGCATCCATGGCCTCCAACCATTACACGCTAGTATTACCCCCACCTCCCAGTTGTGACAACCAAAATGTCTCTAGACATTGACAAGTCCATGGGGGTATAAAATCACCTTTGGTTGAAAATTATGGGCCAAAGGCTCTGCTTCCACAATGGCACACTCACGACTGCTGGCTAAAGGCCTAAACTCGTCACTGGCTATTGCCAAGGAGTCCTCAGTTCCTTGTCATGTAGGCTTCTCCACAGGACAGCTTGAGTGTCCTTATGACATGGCAGATGGCTTTCCCCAGACAGAATGACCTGAGAGAGCAAAGAACAGCTGTGGTGTCCTTTATGACCCAGTCTTGGAAGTCTCATTCCTTCACTTCATCAATATTTGTTAGAAGTCCCCATTATTTCTCTTTTATTGGACATATCTTTTCTTTTCCCCTTATTAGGAAATATGGAGATCTCTTTTTAATCTGGAGATCTCTAAAGTTCTTTTCACACAGACATCACATTCTAAGCTCAGCTTCTTATTCTAGACCTCCCCACCCTAAAGTGGTCTTCCTGTTCTCGACTCCCACTACCTCACCTTACACTTAGTCCATGTCATCTTCTTCTAACCAATGTAAACTAAACAAGAAAATGAAATGAGTGCACTACAAATAGTTGGCCTAATTTTCTTACCATTTTTCCTCTTTATCTCAATGGCCTCCTGTTGCTTTCTGCCTTTCTCAACCAGCAGCCCAATTATATGCTTCCATCACTTATAGATTTTTGTATGCAAACTTGAGCTAAAGCTTCTCTGTTTAAATGTGTTAAGTGTCTGAAAGCAGTTTTTCCCAATGTGTGGGCTTGAAATATATCAAAATCACTTGATGAAATGTAAAAATCTAGGCTCTGTGTGGACAGACCAACTCTGTCAGATCTCTGTAGGTGGGGCCCTGGCATCTGCTTCTTTTATAAAAGCTAAATGACTACTGAATCTTTCTGTTTTTCCATTTTTTAAATGTCTGTAAAAATAGCAAATAAACAATTACGTGATGATGTGGAAGTTCTTTTGGATTACCAAGAAAAAATATGTACCTCAAACTTTTTCTGTGTCTGGAAAATGACTTAACCAGTTAACCACTGTTACTTAAACTGATGTGGATGCATGGCCCAGCATTCCATGACATGCAATCAGTAGCAACCTACTGAAATTTTAGTTCTAGTGTCTGTGGTAATCAACAACAAAAATCACTCACCAAAATTTGCCCATCACCCTTGTGACTCTATTTTTATTAGCTGTTGAGACACAGATGTGTCCCTCATGCTGATATAGCAGAGGTCAAACAACATTAGGTGTTTTTTTTTGTTTTTGTTTCCTTCTTAGTGAGATGCTATAAATTAGGAGGCAGCATATTAAGTACCAAAACATTTTTAGAGAATTAATAGCTCGCTGGGAGGAGCTGGAAGCTGCAAGCATAGCCCAGGGCCAGTATCCTCCTTAATGAATAGCAGCCTAGGAAAATTCTTAAGGTTGCTGTAACAATTACAAAATATTAATATTAAGGGTGGGAAATATACTACATGGCCTGTAAAGGGAGACATACACATACATATACATATCATGACAAAGAAGAAGCGTAATATTTTGGTAACTAGGTCACATTACTTTTGTTTGTTTGGTTGTTTAGGTTTTCACTGGACTCCAAGAAATCTCACAGTACCACCTGGCCCCATGCTTGTCTGGCTTGATTGACTGAACAGGGTCAATTTCTTGAGAATTCTTGGATTTTTCTGAGTGTTTGAGAAGCTTACAGGGTTGTAATCTGGTACAAAGATAGTCTTTCACTGCCAATGTCCACCATTACAACAATAAGGTCACTAGTGGGTTATTTAAAAAAAGAACTTCCACTGAGAACTACAAAAAATTCTGAGCAATAATCAGTCCACCCAAATTCCACCACTAAGAGACTTAACTTTAGCATAGCTTCTAGCAGTTTAAGGCTGTGTCCCAAAGATCATCCTACCCTCATTAAAATGCCTGCACCAGCCAGGCGCAGTGGCTCATGCCTATAATCCCAGCACTTTGGGAGGCTGAAGTGGGCAGATCACCTAAGGTCAGGAGTTCAAGACCAGTCTGGCCAACATGGTGAAACTCTGTCTCTATTAAAAATACAAAAATTAGCCGGGCGTGGTGGTGTGTGCCTGTAATCCCAGTTACTAGGGACGCTTAAACCTGGGAGGCAGAGGTTACAGTGAGCTGAGATAGTGCCACTGCACTCCAGCCTGGGCCACAGAGCAAGACTCTGTCTCAGAAAAAAAAAAAAAAAAAAAAAAAAAAAGCCTGCACCAGAAAGCACAATACTGCCAGGAGAATTTACTGTTTGTTCCAGTCAAAAGCTTGTGATAGGCTTATAGGCCCCTAAAGCTCCTCTTAGAGCAGATACTTTAGAAAGTTTGCAATTATAAATCCTTTCTCTGCCTGTTTATATGTAAATATTCTGCCACCCCAAACTGTCTTCTCAAGGACTGTGAAGGGGAGGCAGGAGGTAGAGGGGTGTCTCTTTGAAATGCAAACATTTTCTAGATCTACAATCATGTCATCTGCAAACAGGGACAATTTCACTTCCTCTTTTCCTAATTGAATACCCTTTATTTCCTTCACCTGCCTAATTGCCCTGGCCAGAACTTCCAACACTATGTTGAATAGGAGTGGTGAGAGAGGGCATCCCTGTCTTGTGCCAGTTTTCAAAGGGAATGCTTCCAGTTTTTGCCCATTCGGTATGATATTGGCTGTGGGTTTGTCATAGATAGCTCTTATTATTTTGAGATATGTCCCATCAATACCTAATTTATTGAGAGTTTTTAGCATGAAGGGTTGTTGCATTGTCTCAGCCCAAAATCTCCTTAAGCTGATCAGCAACTTCAGCAAAGTCTCAGGGTACAAAATCAATGTACAAAAATCACAAGCATTCTCATACACCAGTAACAGACAAACAGAGAGCCAAATCATGAGTGAACTCCCATTCACAATTGCTTCAAAGAGAATAAAATACCTAGGAATCCAACTTACAAGGGACGTGAAGGACCTCTTCAAGGAGAACTACAAACCACTGCTCAATGAAATAGAAGAGGATACAAACAAATGGAAGAACATTCCATGCTCATGGGCAGGAAGAATCAATATCGTGAAAATGGCCATACTGCCCAAGGTAATTTATAGCTTCAATGCCATCCCCATCAAGCTACCAATGACTTTCTTCACAGAATTGGAAAAAAACACTTTAAAGTTCATACAGAACCAAAAAAGAGCCCGCAACACCAAGTTAATCCTAAGCCAAAAGAACAAAGCTGGAGGGCATCACACTACCTGACTTCAAACTATACTACAAGGCTACAGTAACCAAAACAGCATGGTACTGGTACCAAAACAGAGATATAGATCAATGGAACAGAACAGAGCCCTCAGAAATAATGCCGCATATCTACAACTATCTGATCTTTGACAAACCTGACAAAAACAAGCAATGGGGAAACGATTCCCTATTTAATAAATGGTGCTGGGAAAACTGGCTAGCCATATGTAGAAAGCTGAAACTGGATCCCTTTCTTACACCTTACACAAAAATGAATTCAAGATGGATTAAAGACTTAAACGTTAGACCTAAAACCATAAAAACCCTAGAAGAAAACCTAGGCAGTACCATTCAGGACATAGGCATGGGCAAGGACTTCATGTCTAAAACACCAAAAGCAATGGCAACAAAAGCCAAAATTGACAAATGGGATCTAATTAAACTAAAGAGCTTCTGCACAGCAAAAGAAACTACCATCAGAGTGAACAGGCAACCTACAAAATGGGAGAAAATTTTCGCAACCTACTCATCTGACAAAGGGCTAATATCCAGAATCTACAATGAACTCAAACAAATTTACAAGAAAAAAACAAACAACCCCATCAAAAAGTGGGCGAAGGACATGAACAGACACTTCTCAAAAGAAGACAATTATGCAGCCAAAAAACACATGAAAAAATGCTCACCATCACTGGCCATCAAAAAATGCAAATCAAAACCACAATGAGATACCATCTCACACCAGTTAGAATGGCAATCATTAAAAATTCAGGAAACAACAGGTGCTGGAGAGGATGTGGAGAAATAGGAACACTTTTACACTGTTGGTGGGACTGTAAACTAGTTCAACCATTGTGGAAGTCAGTGTGGTGATTCCTCAGGGATCTAGAACTAGAAATACCATTTGGCCCAGCCATCCCATTACTGGATATATACCCAAAGGACTATAAATCATGCTGCTATAAAGACACATGCACACGTATGTTTATTGCAGCTCTATTCACAATAGCAAAGACTTGGAA
Organism: Homo sapiens; assembly: GCF_000001405.40. Classification (NCBI taxonomy): domain Eukaryota; kingdom Metazoa; phylum Chordata; class Mammalia; order Primates; family Hominidae; genus Homo; species Homo sapiens. The sequence goes on along the minus strand of NC_000010.11, from coordinate 82,647,423 downwards.
CCAAACCAAATGTCCAACAATGATAGACTGGATTAAGAAAATGTGGCACATATACACCATGGAATACTATGCAGCCATAAAAAAGGATGAGTTCATGTCCTTTGTAGGGACAAGGATGAAACTGGAAATCATCATCCTCAGTAAACTATCGCAAGAACAAAAAACCAAACACCGCATATTCTCACTCATAGGTGGGAATTGAACAATGAGAACACATGGACACAGGAAGGGGAACATCACACTCTGGGGACTGTTGTGGGGTCGGGGGAGTGGGGAGGGATAGCATTAGGAGATATATCTAATGCTAAATGAAGAGTTAATGGGTGCAGCACACCAGCATGGCACATGTATACATATGTAACTAACCTGCACATTGTGCACATGTACCCTAAAACTTAAAGTATAATAATAATAAAATTAAAAAAGAGAACATAAAAAAATAAAGGTGAAGTAACAGCAAAAAAAAAAAAAAGAAATGCAAAAGTTTAAAAAGTTATCTCTTTCTCTCTCAGTCCCTGTGGGAAGATAAAGGCCTAAATTTGGTGGGCACCTTGTTCCAACTTACTACCTTCTGACAGAAAGATAGGAGAAATTTGTTTCTCCTCTGGATAAGCACCAGTTAGCAAACCCTGACGGCCCAATCACATGGTCTGATCTCTGCTCCCCCACCATGCTTAACACCAATCAGTGCCTTTCCTTGAGCATACCCCAGCATCTAAGAACACTTCTGTCTCTTGCTCTGGCAAAGTTGAGCTCAGTTTACAATAGACTCTCTTCCCTATTGTAATAGTTATTATATGAATAAAATCTGTCTTAACCAACTGCTGGACGTCTTTAACCAACATCTAGCTTTGTTTGTCTTCGACATCGTAATTTACTGTAATGGGAAGTTAAATCACATTTGTCATATACTTGAAAAACTGGGGGACATGCTATGATGTACTTGCAGAAAGAACAGGAATGCAAACCACACGTGACAGGTGACCATATTGTACTTTACATGAGTCCTAAATTCCTAGAAGTTGGAACACAGTGAAGGTTGAGAAGTCTCCCCATCCTTTTGCGTTCTAAGAATTAAGAAATGGCTGAGTGCAAATGATCACTCTGCTCTCACATATTTCAAGATAAGTTCCATCTCCATCTTACCTCATTACTCCCATAAACTTGTGGATTACTCCCTCATCTGCCTGCCTCTGTAAAACCCCACCCCCACTACTTTTGTTTACGATGTTTCTCAAAGGGCATAATAGAGTCAGCTGTAGGGCCAAGAGGTTAGGAGGTAGCAAGGATCAAGCATTCAGATCCCCAATAATACATACTTGTTCCTTCTCATTCTTTGTCATGGAAAATTGTTATTTCCTCAATTCTATGTCAAGTGTCATATGAACATGGTTTCAATATTCTCCCTGCCTTTTTCCAACCAAACTGCTGACGTTAATCCCTGACTCTATAGAAATTGTATAGCTGCTACTGAAATATGTTGAAACTGTATTTAAGCTGCAATATGACAGCTTTTATCTCCAGGCACTATAGCTGAGAGAAGAGAAGTTGCTCAATAAGATAGGAAAAAAAATAAAAATTAAAAAAAGAAAACATAGAAGAAAGGGATTTGGAAAAATGAAAGAGGCCTGAAGGCAGGTCTCAATACAACACTCTTGTTTTTTCCCCACCTATAACCATAGGGGCTGCAAGTCTCTTACTGCAGACTTAGTGGAAGACGTAAGAAGAAGACATGAAAAGCAGTAGTATTCAAGAAGAGTTCATATTCTTATATCCTAAAGGTCTTATTTTGCCATGGATTTGGGCAGTTGCATTCAGGAACAGAAACAGCACAAACCATAGAAATATACTTGTTCAACTGATAATGGTTGAGGCAGAAAGAGTTTGCACATTGAAGAATGACTTTGGAGCAATTATGAATGCAACAAGGAACTGGAACACTGACAGCAGCCTGGGCTGTGGACACCAGGAACTGTTGAGAGGACCATATGGGTGGGGCAATTCTAAAGTAAATAACAATTCTGATTAGGCCAAGACAGTGACTGTCACAAGGCATTCCAAGAATTAGAAATTCACTGATGCACTTGATCTGGTATTTTGATCTCATGCACAAATCAAATGATCTCACACCTTACAGAAAGTGCTGGAGGAGAAAATATTCTCTGGCTATGACAGACCTTGGGTGCTTTTCAAGTCTTGTGTAAATGTTGGTGAAACTGCATAGATGAGATATTTTCAAGGGTATCTGGTATCATATAATACCAGCTTAACAGTTTTCTATCATGATACTTCTGACTCATTAAGATGTTTAGAAGAAAAAAGAAAAAATATGAAAACAGCAGCAAAATGGAAAAGGCAGGCAACCTTTGTCATAGCATCAATGGGTTTTCTCAAAACTGTAAAGCAAATTATTGATTATTTTGTATTGACAGAAAAACATGCAGGCATTACTTCATCGTCTAGTAGAGTTCACCTAAGAAAAAAGAAAGAAAGGAAAATTAGGTATGGATACACTCACTTAAACTTCAATAGTTGAACCCATGGCTTCATCCTGTTTGAGCCATGTAGGGGAAAAATGTGTTTCAGTGGAAAACTGGGCAATGTCTTAGCATACTTTTCTGTGATATCTGATGATTCCAATTCTGGGGGAGTTATTTTACAACTCTGTAAATTGCCAATAACTAAAAGCAATGCAAAATCATCCCCGTCCATAGACACACACATTCTGTCCTGTCTGGTAGAGTTTTAATTGATTTTGCTCTCCTACTGAAGAAAAAACAAATTTTGCCTCTATTTGCACATTCATTTAAATATTGCTAATTATAAATGCATCTGTTCCTTGGATTCTTCTTTGAACTGGTTGTAATGTCTCACTAGTTTCCTCATTAGTAAGTTAAATAAAATCTTTAACATTTTGAGAGTTATGATTTTAGTTATTTTTGGAACTTATCTCTAACAGCTCAAAACCTCATTTAACAGTTAAAAAAAGAAGAGAAAAGGCATCTGCCCTCAAGAATAAAAGAAAATAAGCATAGATATCACCAGTGGTTTGGAAGCTAGAAAGTTTCTTTATAGTCACAACTCATTTAGGAAGCAAACACTTTAGAAACTTATCATCACCTATGCAGATAGAGAGGAAAACCAACAGGAAGCATCCCATTCCTGCATGTGACTGCTGGAAAGAATCAGGGATTGAAGGAATCAGGTACCTCTGAAAGTGGGGTGAGCTGAAAACACAGGTGTCTTGAAGTTTATATAAGGAGCATTAGGTTCCTATATCCCCACCCTCAAGAAAAGCTCTTCTGTTAACTTCTAGAAAGCTGGCAGACAAGGCAGAAGATTGGAAGATTTATTGCTGTAGAAACAGACCAGCCAAAGCAAAAGGACTTATCACTGCTGCTATAACTCAATTAACCCCTATATCCAGGGTTTCCAATCTGCTTTTTTACTGCTTTTAAATAAAAATGGTTAGTCAAGGATCAAACATTTGGGAAATTCTCGTGTGTGTGTGTGTGTGTGGGTGTGTGTGTGTGTGTGCGCGTGTGTGTCAGAGACAGAGAAAGAGAGAGAGAAATTCAAAAGAAACGGAGGAGCTGAAAAGCAGTGAGACAAATAACGAATAAGTAGAACCCAGGATTAGCCCAGGGACATGCCAGAGAACTGAAGCATACACAGTGTACTTGAATGAAGCAACAGGGTCATTTCACAATAATGGGAAAAGATTAGACTATTTAATAATCAGTGTAAGAAAAACAGATAAATTTTGGAGACAAATATAATAAAATTGGAATACAAAAATTCTAGATCAAGTTTCTTTCAAGGCCTCACAGTTTGTAGGTTTTAGACCCTCTGATCTATTTAATAAGCAATAATATATTATTAATCATGCTTAGGGAAACCTTGGCAATCATGTGGTATCAGTCAGTTTTCACACTGCTGATAAATACATACCCGAGCCTGGGCAATTTAGAAAAGAAAGAAGTTTAATGGACTTACAGTTCCATATGGCTGGGGAGGCCTCACAATCATAGTGGAAGGCAGGGAGGAGCAAGTCACATCTTAAATGGATGGTGGCAGGCAAAGAGAGAGAGAGCTTCTGCAGGGAAACTCTCCTTTTTAAAACCATCAGATCTCATTAGACTTATTCACTATCACAATAACAGCACAGGAAACCACCCCCCTGGCCCTGACCATGATTCAATTATCTTTCACTGGGTCCCTCTGGCAACATGTGGGAATTATGGGAGCTACAAGATGAGATTTGGATGGGGACACAGAGCCAAACCATATCACATGTCTTCAAAGAAAACTTTGTTATAAGAAAGAAAAGTCAGTATATTTTAAAATATTTTATTATTAAATTTCAAAAATATGTAAAGGTAGGCAGAAGAGTATAATAAATGGTTATCTTGTGGCTACCTTCCGCCCTAAAATTATTTTAAAGGAAATTCATATCACTTTATCCATACACATTTTTCAGGATCTATTTCTATAAGACAAATATCCTTTTAAATATATATATATATGTGTATGTATAATACACATAGACACATAAACACACTATTATTTCACCTAAAGGTGAACAATGTTTTTCAAAATAATCAAATATTCAGTGTTCACATATCTAAATGTTTCACAAATGTTGACGATATCTTTCAGCAGCTTTTTGTTTAAATTAAAATATAAATAAGATTCACATTTCACAATTGTTTGATATTTTTATTTAAGTTTCTTTTACCCTGTAGGTTTCCTTCTTGTTATCTCTTTCTCTTCAGTATGTATGTATATTGGAAGAACCAGGGTTTTTTTTTTCTCCTTGTAGAGTTCCCTACAATCTTATTTTTGCTAGTTTCAACCATGGTATCATCTCATATATTTCTCCATCATCTGATTTTCTATAAATTAGTAGTTGGATCTAGAAGTTTGACCAGAACTAGGTTCATATTTTTTAAACAATACTAGTTCATGAGTGGTGTGCATTATTTCACCAGGAAGTATATGCTATTTAGTTGTACTCTGTTTTATTGATGTTAACAGCTGTTAATAATCAATGTCTTGGTCTATTAATTAATTTAGAGTTGGAAAATTGTGGTATACTAATTCTGACAGTTCTTTCTCACTTGCCAGCTGTAATATACTTCTATTAAAAAAAAAAACTCCATCTACTATTTGGTTACTTGTTGATAGAGGAGATAAAATGTGGCATATGTATATAATAGAATACCATGAAGCCATGCAAATAGATAAAATCATGTCTTTTGCAGCAACATGGATGGAACTGTAGGCCATTATCTTAAGTGAAACAGCTCAGAGACAGAAAGTACCGCATGTTCTCACAAGTGGGAGCTAGAAAATATGCACACGTGGACATAGATATTTAGTGGGCGGTAAATAACATGCTCACATGTGGAATAATAAACAATAGGGACTTGGAAAGGGGGAGGTTGAGGGGATGGATGATAAGAAGTTTCTTAGTGTACATTAATTTGGATGATGAATACCCTAAAAGCCTTGACTTTGCCACTACATGATCTATCCATGTAACAAAATTACACTTACCACATACATTTAATACAAATAAAGACAATTTAAAACAGGATAAAACCTTCTTCTTTCCTTCTATTTATTAGTTTGTTGTTTTAATCATAAGTTGATTTACAAGCATCCTGCATTGGTAAACAGTTATTTTTTTACTTTTGTATTATTTTGAAGGCATGGATTTTTAACATATTTGATGTATTTCAATCCATTGATGTTATTGCCTGAATTGTCCAACATTCAGCCAGTTGGCTTCTGATGCTGTGAGTGCCTGGGCTCCAGGTTGGATCATGAGTACTCTTGATGGGCCCTACTTTTCTTACTATCTGTTATGAAAATGTTTCAGGCTCATCTTATACACCAGACCTAGGATTAGCCATTTGTCTAAGAAACCCTGCTTTTTTGTTTCTTTACTTGCTTGTTTCTTTACTTGTTTTTAGTGAAAAAATAGCATTGCAAGCCCATAAATAGTGTGGGAAGGGTGGTCTGTTTAATATTTTAACTAGAAATGGAATATATGAGACATTATATACAATAAGACACTTTGTGAAAGAAATACAGACATACACAAGCGCACAGATCACAAATATAAGCTTAGAAAACTGACAAAAAAGTTTCTAAAATATTCACAAAGACTTTATTTGGGTAGTTTAGTGATTAGCAACAATTTTATTTTCATATTTATATGTATCTGTATTTTTAAATAAGTATACATTACTTAAAAAACGACAGACTGCTGAGGCAGGAGAATGGCGTGAACCCGGGAGGCGGAGCTTGCAGTGAGCCGAGATTGCGCCACTGCACTCCAGCCTGGGCGACAGAGCGAGACTCCGTCTCAAAAAAAAAAAAAAAAAAAAAAAAAAAAAAAAAAAAAACGACAGACTGAAAAATTTAAAGACCCTAGGTTTTGTAGTAAGCATTTTATATTATGAGAAACAAAATTACTGCAACAATTCCTATCAAATCGTACAAGTTGTCCTCAAAAGAATGTAAGCATTTGTTAATATTTGCAAGGCACTTTAAAAATAATAGGCCTATGAGGCATTATTTCATTTAGTTTATGACATATTAATAATGCACCTTATTTATCTACCACTTGAAGTAGAGCTTAATGAATTAACATAATATCCAATCATGTTTAATGAAGAGCTTTAAAATTACTCATCTAAATGATTGTCATAATTTTTTAATAATAATTATATTTAGCACTTTTATTGCATTTTTTTCCTTGAAAGTATTTTGCAAACACCTAGTTAATACTTAATACATCCATCTTCATGTGAAATGGAGAAGAGGTGTCCTTGCTATATTCCTCTTAATAGTACAGTCTAAACACAAAGATGGGCTTATAAATGCACCCTGTCCAGTCCATGGAGAAAACAGGTACTACCTGATGATGGATTTGCACTCAGAATAAGGTAGGACTTAATATGAAGAAATGTTACCAGGCAGTCCAAAGTTTGACTTATTCCTTATGAATAACACGAAGTGGCCTAACTGGCTATGGCTATGCTTTAGTAATCCCAAGTGTATCATCAACTGGATAAAATCACCAGGGCTCCATAGTATTCCATGGTGTATATGTACCACATTTTATTTATCAAGTCTACCACTGATCAAACATTTGGGTTGATGCTATGTCTTTGCTATTGTGAATAGTGCTGCAATGAATATACACATGCATGTATCTTTATAATGGAACAATTTACATTTCTTTGGGTATATACCCAGTAATGGTATTGCTGTGTCAAATGGTATTTGCTATGCATCCATCAAAAAGAATACAATCTTGTCCTCTGCAGGAACACGGATGGAACTGGAGGCCATTATCCCTAGCAAACTAACACGGGAACAGAAAACTAAATACTGCATGTTGTCACTTATAAGTGGGAGCTAAATGATGAGAACACATGGACACATAGAGGGGAACAACACACACTGGGGCCTATTGGAGGGTGGAGGGTGGGAGGAGGGAGAGGATCGGGAAAACAATTAATGGGTATAGGCTTAATACCTGGGTGATGAAATAATCTGTAAAACAAACCCCATGACACAAGTTTACCTATATAACAAACCTTCATATGTACCCCTGAACTTAAATAAAAGTCAAATTAAAAAAATAATCAGGGCTCTTTCAGCCATTACCAAGAAATTCTTACAGCCAAGAAAATCTTAAAAGGGGGTTAAATTTGGTTTGATTCCAATATAAACAAGAGCATAGCTTCTCTGGTTTTTAATGGGAGTGTTTTTAAAAAAGTCTAACTTCTAGCAGCTTTGAAAAATTTCAATGAAAATTAGAAAAGAAATGTCATCTGAACATCTTTCCAGCTAAATATCCCATTGTCTTTATTCAGTGGTTGCAACTGACCAACTGTGGTGATGACTAGCTTCTTGATCACTGGATTTGTTATTTGCATGGGTAAATAGCTGCTATGGTCTGAATGTCTGTGTCTCTCCAAAATTCATATGTTCAAACCTAAATCCCCAGGTGGTGGTATTAAAAGGTGGAGCCTTGGGAAGTGATTAGGTCATGAAAGCTCTGCTTTCATAAATATGATTAGTAGCCTTATAAAAGAGGCCCAAGGGAGCCTGTTTACCCTTTCCACTATGTGTGGACACAGCAAGAAGTCACCATCTATGCAGCACAGAGATCTCACTAGACACTTGAACTTTCCAACCTCCACAACTGTGAGCAAAAAACTTCTATTGTTTATTAATTACCCAGTTTAAGTAATTTTGTTATACAGCAGGAAGATTAAGACAATGGTATCCTGTGTTTGGCTTAAAGCCTTCATACATAAAGAGACACTGGGTAGTAGATTATTCAATTTGATCTTTTCACATGGCAACGACAGAGTTGAAGGGGATGTTTTCAAACAGAAGATTTTGAAAGGCTCAACGACCTAATGATTATATGATAGAAGATTAAAAAAAAATATGTGGCCGGGCACAGTGGCTCACACTTGTAATCCCAGCACTTTGGGAGGCTGAGGCGGGAGGATCCCGAGGTCAAGAGATTGAGACCATCCTGGCCAACATGGTGAAACCCTGTCGCTACTAAAAATACACAAATTAGCTGGGCATGGTGGCACGTGCCTGTAGTCCCAGCTACTTGGGAGGCTAAGGCAGGAGAATCACTTGAACCTGCGAGGTGGAAGCTGCAGTTAGCTGAGATCGCACCACTGCACTCCAGCCTGGTGACAGAGCAAGACTCCGTCTCAAAAGAAAAAAAAAAAAAGTGTATTTCAGGAATCCCTTGGAGTGTGATTTTGGATGCTTAGATCTCAGGTTTCTGGCAAGAAGTCATTCACAGCAACAAATGACATCCAGTCCTTGCCATAATTTGGGAACACCAGCTGGGACATAAGTCACAATTCATTTCGGCCTCCAGGTCAAACCGGGCAAATGTAAGGCTGTGTTAATAAATGCCTATAATACTGAGTATTTTAAAGATAACAAAAATATTCCCAGGGACACAGTGCAGTATGTTTTACTTTTCATGAGTATTTACATTTAAAACAAAACCAAACTCCAAAATATTTCATCCACCTAATCATATTATGCTTAGACTAATTACAAGTCTCCAGTACAGATATAATTTGCATAGAATGATCAAATTCACCTTTGAACATGGCATGGAAATCGGTATGTTCCTCCTATTAACCTACCAGCAGGCTCTGTACCAAGAGCATTTCATCCAAGAGTGGCACTTGTATGTGATACATATGTTTAATTCAGCATCGTATCTTTTTTCCTCTTTTCTTATAGTTTCATTTTACAGTTTTAAAGCTCAGATTTCAGGTGTTTGTCAAGAAGTCACTAACTCTAAACTTACAGGAAAGTTTCCAATATAGTGAAAGGAATGTTTTTTCCTGCAAATTTTTTAGTGTAAATTGCCAAATTGATTCTCCACTACTCTTAAGTACTCTAGTGTGTATTTCTCACAAATGAGGACATTTTTTTATACATGACTGTGATATAAATATCAAAATTGGGAAATTAACTTTACCGCATTGCTATCATCGAATGCTCTGGGAAATTAACTTTACCACAGGGCTATCATCTAATTTTCAGATTCTATTCAAATTTCACCAGTTGTTCCAATAATGGCCTTTGTGACAAAAAGCTCTGGATCACAAGTAAGCATTGTACTTAGCTGTCATATTGTATTTATTTTCTTCAGTTTGAGACATTTCTTCAGTCTTTCCTTGACTTTCATGACTTTGACATTTTTTGAAGACTACAAGACAGTTGTTTTGTGGACAATCTATCAATTTTGGTTTTCCTGATGTTCCCTCATAATTAGATACAGGTTACACATTATTGATGTGATGTCTCATTCTTCTGATTATATCCTATGGGACTTGACTCATCATTAATGATGTTCATACTGATTACTGGATTCAAATGGGGTATGACTGGCCTCTTCAATGTAGATTCACTGTTTCCTGTTGTAATTAATAAGTATTTTGTGACAAGGTGAGACCATGTAAATATCCTGTTCCTCAACAAATATTTATCTTATTCATTGGTTTATTTATATCAGAACAAATTCTTTTTTCTATGTCATTTAATCAGCTATAATCAATTACTAACATTATTTATTATAATTCTCAATTCATCCCAAATTTGGCCAGTAGGAGCCGTTTAAAAAGGCTTATGTGTCCTTTTAATATATTCTCATCATTTAAAAAAATAAATTTTATTGTGTATACTTAAGGCATAATATATGCTGTTTTCAGCTACACATATACAGTATAACAGTTACTATCATGAAACAAATCGTCTCACATAGTTATCTATTTTTCCTCTGTGGCAGGAGCAGTTACAATCTAGTCATTTAGCAAAAATCCTGAATACAATACACTATAATTAACTATAGTCTTCATGTTGTACTTTGTATCTTTAAATTTGTTCATCCTACATATCTGCTACTTAGTATCTTTTGACCTACATCTCCCCATTTCCTACCCTTAATCCTGCCTCTGGTAGCCACTATTTTATTCTCTATCTCAAACACACACACACTCTCTCACACACACTCTCTCTCTCACACACACACACACACACAGCCCACAAGAGATTAAAAACAGAGTTACCATATGACCCAGCAATTCCTCTTCTGGGTATATACTCAAAGAAAATAAAATCACCACCTCATAAAGATATCTCCATGCCCATGTTCATTGCAACATTATTTAGAATAGCCAAGATATGGAAATAACCTGAGTGTCCATGGAGGACAAATAGATAAAGAAACTGAATATTATTCAGCCTTTAAATAGTAGGAAATCCTGCCATTTGCTGCAACATGGATAACCCTGGAGTACATTATGCTAAGTGAAATAAACCAGATACAGAAAGAAAAATATTATATGGTCTCACTTATATGTGAACATCTCATCATTCTTTTTGAGAACTCCTTTGCTTTCTGGTACAAAAAGACATTCCAGGCTTGGCTTGTCTTGTACTTTTCTTGCAAACTAATGTTTCTCCAGGACAAACTGGTTTCTTTTGGAGAAGAATGGTATTTAGATGCCAAGATGTGGAGTGTCATTAATCCCAGGCTCTCTCACCTGACAGAACTAAGGAATGCACACACACCGCATGCCTGTACACATATTTACACACACACACACACACAGACACACACACACACACATATGTAGATAGACACACATATTGAAAACCATGAGTTCAGATTAATGGCTATAATTCCAGTCTCATACAAAAAGGTTCATCCTAGTTTTCTTTCTCTTATTTGCAATTTTTCTTCCCCTCCAAAGAGAAGCATGGCTCTCACTGCCTTTAATATATTTACTTATGGATTAATATTACTACATATAACCAATCTTCCATTGTTGCTACTACTCCTTTCCCCATGAAGATTCCCTTGGACTTTGACACTACGCACGAAGCCACTCTACATATGGACACCCCCATACCCACTTCAACTCTGACACCACTCACCAGGCAATCTCCTTCCTACTTCATAAACGTTTTACTTTTTCCTCTCACTTGGGCTCCAAAGCCCAAGCCTAGTCCACTGCAGCCTCCCTGCCCAGCACCAACAATCATCCTGAACACAGCCTTTGCAATGTCTCATATTATGTCTTCAGGACTGCATTATTTGAGAAGAAAAGGGAAAGGAGAAGAGAACATTCTAGTTTGGTATTGTTTATGTTGGTGCACTACAAGTAATACTATGGATGTCTAGCCTGTTGTTTCAAACCAAAAAATGTATTTAGCTTCTGCTACGTCGAGGACAGATAACAATAATAATAATAATGACAGTAAACCCTTTTGTCTATGAGAAAAAATGGAGCTCAGATAAGAAGGGGCGTTTTCCCCTCCAAAAGTAAGACCATGAATCCTCCCCCAGCCCAACAGAAGACCTACAGCACCCTCAGAAGACAGGAATATGTCCCTTCTTGGGGACTGGAAAGCCTGCCCAGCAACTCCATCATGGGCATGTATTCTTACAGAATCCAAAAATAAGAAAAGAAGCTAAAGAAGCATAAAAGCTCTTGAATTTGGGGTCTTTGGAGCTTTAGAACTTTAGTCAAGCTGGAGTCTTTAGATTATGGGGAGAGAACCTTTCAAATAACTACGTGGGTTCTGATGCCTGCAGAATGAGATAGAATAGAAATCATGGGACAAAGAAGATGAAAGAAGATCAAACGAAGGTGGTAGTAAAAGACTGCAGAGTGGTTTAGGTTTGATGCACTGTATTAGCCTCTCCTAACCAAGAATTGCTTGTAGTTTGATATGAAGCCATTTGGGTTCAGGTCTTTTCTTCAAGTATTTTTAAGTTATTTTATGATCGCCTTTATAAATCCAAAAGATATAAGTATTCTTTCTAGTTCTGTTAATTGTTAAGAAGAAGGTTCTAGATTAGTTCAAGCTAACCCATATACCATCACTCTCTCAAGGCCCAATGAACCTGGTCACAACTGTCTTCCTTTTTCCTCATCCCAACCCACATTTATAGAAAGGTGCACCTGATGGCTTCTCTTGTCTTCTACCCCTACAATTTATAACAATGTAACATTATAAAATCCAACACTCTATCCAACCATCATCTGACCTGCATATGGAGGAAAAGTGAGTAATTAATGATGTGGTGAATAACATGTGTCAAATATGTACTTTAATCACTTACTGGTTCCTTACACTTTCCCCAAAGAACTTTCTAGGTATCAATAGTTGACTTTGCTTTCAGGAAAAACCATTGGACTGATTTCTGCCAGACTTTCTAACTATATTTCTCTAAATAAGATATGTTTACATATTAGAGAGGAAAGCATTGGCTCTCTTCTGGGTCTATTTCATGAGATCTCTAAAAATATTGAACAAACTTATTTAATTTGAGTTTTTAAAAAATGTGCATCTCCCAAATTATTGTGAAACTAGACATGCTATTTTTAATTACCTCTAAACTTCTGAAGATCACAACATAAATAATGAATATGGGACTCTAGTGATTTCTTTCTGTGTGTGTAATACAAGCATACATACATACTTCTGTGTACTGTATACATAAACACATGTGTACATGTACATTATCAAGCCTTGCCTTGTGTCTTCTTCACCCTTTTCTACTCTCCATGATTCTGCTTTTAATTGATCTTCCAGTCATGACTGGACACCCTGTGCATTGCACTGCTCCCTCCCCTCAAAAAAATAACTCCACTTTTACCTTGAACATGGCTCATTCTTGGAAAATTGCTTCTACAATTTAGAGGATTCACCTGAACACTTCTTCTAGTCCAGTGTTCAGATGATCCAACAACAAAGGCCCATGCTGCTAATATCTCATGGGCCCGTTGTCCTTTATGAACCATAATCTCTATATGCCCAAGTTCTGATCACTGAACTTTGGTTATCAATGTTTTAATATCTTTCTTAAAAATCTGCCTGAAAATTCAGGTTCTTTTTCTCTGATTGGCCTTTCACCTTTTTCTTGCCAGTTCTCTTTTCGCTGTTAAGGACACACAACACTTACCAAATGTATTTGGCTTTTCTGTGGACAAAAAAATTGATGGTCAAATAAGCTTCAGAAACACTGACCACTACAACCTCTGCTTAAAATGTGTACATTTTGGTACATTAATGTCAAATAGCCCATCTCCCAAACTTGGCTACAGCCTCCATTTTTCTAGTAACGTCTCGTGGAAACAGAGCTCGCTGGAACAGACTTTAAATAAGCTGGTAGAAAGTCCTAACCTTTGTAAACATCAGCCTGCTGACACACTCCTGATGCTTGGACATCTTGACTCCTGGGCCACACTTTAAGCCCTTGGTGGACTGCACTAATACTAATTATATCTATCTGGGGCATCTGTCTCCTCTCTTCTCACCCTCCAGATCATGATTAATGGCGTTACACTTGTCCGCTTTTTCACCCTCCCAACTCTATTGGAACATATGAGTTTTGGATTGAGTTCTGAAATGATCTATTGATTTGTGACTGTGTCGTACAACTTGACATTTCTATCCAAGAACTTAGTCTCCCCTTCTTTGCTCAGAGAAACCTGGCTTTGTTTATGATGATGATGGACCCAATCCAGATATGATTAATGATTATTTTAAAACAGTCTTGGAAATTCTATTTTCCTATGCCAGGTACTTACTTTCCCAACACCTCTTGCCACTAAGCATATATATGTGACCCAGTTCTAGCAAATGCACTATAAGGAAAAGTCTTCTGGACGATTTCTGGAAAACAATTTTCATCCAATTTAAAGAAATCTCCATTTACCCAGACCTCTTCATTTCTTGCTTAAACACAGTCAGATGAAAATGTGATGCTTGGAGGTACAGTAGCTATCCTGTGACCATGAGTTAACAAACCTGTCAATGGCAGAGTGAAAAGGTCAAACAAGCCTGAGAACTTGATGATATCAATGAGCCACTGCATCAAAGACTAAATCACCTATATCCAGATACCTTAACTATAGATTTTCTTGTGTTGCAGCCAAAAGCATTCTTAACTGTTGTAACTTCCCACTTGAGCAACTATCACAGCAGCTTGCTTAGAGTAAGAGCTGAGTTAATGGGGTATTAAATGAACCAAGTCAATCATCAAGAGGAAAAGCAAACTAAAAGATTAAACAAAATAATTAATAATAACGTAAATGAACAAAGACAGACGATTTATATTACTATGATTCACAAGTATTTTGGGGTACCTAAAACATGGCATTTACTAAACTAATTGCTAGATACCAAGGAAAATTATATAATACTACACAGTCCTTCTCTTTTGCGAAGATTACCAACTACCAGAAAAAAACACACAGGAGAAAATGAAATACGATAATGAGTTGTAATAAAGGAAATTTCTGCCAGGGAAAAGTTCATAGAAAGTCCCTAAAATTGAATATTTGAGCTGATCCTTGAAACATGAGTAAGTATTTGCAGTAGCTGAAAGTGTAATTAAAAAAAGGGCTAGAAATAAAAAGAAGCACTCCAGGTAAAGGGGAGCTCATAGAGCTATAAAATCTGACTCCTTTAAGTAATATCAGGGGCCTGGGAGAAAGCATTTGGATGTCTTATGTAACTAAATGCAGGCAGAATATATCTTCAAGTCTATGAAATAGTAGCCCAGAGTATACGATATGCCCAAAGGCCATTTATGGATCAGAAAAAAATGTTAGCTATTGAACAGTCGCTTGGTAGATGGAAAATGATGAAGTAAATGGGTTAGAATGTTATCAATAGCTGAGTCTGGGAAAAGGATATGTGGGTGTTATTTTTTACATTTTTATTTTTTAATTTTTGAGACAGGGTTTTGCTCTTGTTGCCCAGGTTGGAGGTGCAATGGCGTGATCTCGGCCCAGTGCAACCTCTGTCTCCCGGGTTCAAGTGATTCTTCTGCCTCAGCCTCCCAAGTAGCTGAGATTACAGGCACCTGGCACCACACTCAGCTAATTTTTGTATTTTTGGTAGAGACGGAATTTCACCATGTTGGCCGGGCTGGTCTTGAACTCCTGACCTCAGGTGATCTGCCTGCCTCGGCCTCTTAAAGTGCTGGGATGACAGGTGTGAGCCACCACACCTGGCCATGGGTGTTATTTTTAAATTTTATTTTTAAATTTTCAGTGTGGAATTACTTGCAAATAAAAAAGCAAGCAAACAAAAATCACAAAAACAAAACTAACAAAGACACGTGAACCCTATCAGAGGCTGCATGGGGCTATCTTGCCTTATGAGAACATGAGATCAAAAAAGGAAATTCAGTGCCAACGTGGAGGTCAGCGTTAGCTATTACAAAGACTGAAAAAAAAAAAAAAAACCACGGCTGAAGGCATCTGGGGATGCCCACAGTCAAATGGAAACAAAAGCTGAAGGAAACTGTAGGCACAAATTTTAAACATTGCCTGAAAGACTTAGTAAATTTTATCATTACTTTCAGACTGTATGTATCTCTTCGGAAGAGGGTGGAATCCCGAACTAGACCCAAGGGTTCTCATGAGTTCAAAATATAGAGACGATGGGCATGGCAAATGCAGCAGCCCAGAATCTTCTAGGAAACCTCTGGAGTCAATGGGGGTTGTTTTTAGCAGAAGTCATGATCATCTAGCAAGACGGCTCTCCCTCATCCGGGGAATTTGAATTGGTGTCTGTCATATCCATTTACAATATTTCTTAGTAAATACTGCAGTGGAGACATTTCTACCTCCTTCCCACACTAGAGAGTTGGAAGGATTAATTAGCAGCTTTCTGTAAAGTGCTATAGGTTCTTTTTCTCAGCAGACAGAGTAATGACTAATTCCCAGACCTCATCCTGAAAAGAAGGTTACAGTAACAACCAAAACCCTGCCTCAGAGAAGTGATAAAAGGCATACACTGTTTTTGCTCATCTGAAGACACTTGGAAAACTTATTGCAACATTGTATATTAAAACTTTAATTATATTCACACTCAATAATCCCAGGCTAGCAGTATAATTTAAAGAAAAAAAGTCTTTGTGAACAAAAATGTAATTAAAACCTCTTTTGAATAGTAAAAACAATGAAAGCAAACCTTGTTGTCCAACAATCAGAAGATAGAATAAGTTAATGTGTATCTATTTAAGGAATATTACATAGCCATTAAATTGTATTTTTGAAGGGTTTATAATAACCAAGAGAAATAGTCTAGATTCATATGAAAATTAAATATAAAATTGGCCATTAAAACTATTTCAACTTAATTTTTTTTTTTTGACAGAGTTTCACTCTTGTCAACCAGGCTGGAATGCAGTGGCGTGATCTCAGCTCACTGCAACCTTCGCCTCCCAGGTTCAAGTGACTCTCCTGCCTCAGCCTCCCAAGTAGCTGGGATTACAGATGCCCACCACCACGTCCGGGCCAACTTAAAATTCTTACACTGAAAATAACTGGTGGAAAGGAATTATCTAAAGATAAACAGTAGCTCTGTTTAGGTGCTAGGACTAGAACTGACTTATCTTCTTTCTACTTTTCCTTATGATCCAGGATTTCTTAATTAGTTACTGCTATTTTTATCTGAAAAAAAAAAAAAAAAAGAAAACCATATATATCTTGCCTCACCCTGTCCACAAATGCTTGGTTACACAACCCTATCTTGAAAAGATTTTCATATTGCTGTTCTTCTCTAAAATTACCTCTTTATTTACTTTTCTCTGACTTTTTACTCTTTGGCGCCTCCCATTTTCTTCTTATTCCGAATTCATTTGGGATTTGGAATTTAAATACATTTCTTGAGGTGTGCACTGGAACAAACCCATTGTTTGTATTAGGCAGCATGGTTGCCACCATACTCCCTGGCTGGAAACTGCGATTTAGTTGCTGGCAGCTCCCACCCCTTTTATTGCTGGGGAAGAAGGTGAATCCTGGCTCCTGGTCCATGGGTCCCTGGATTCCCTTTGGTGTCAGTTCCCCAGAATGATACAAAATCACATCTTCATTGGGACATCTGCTTTTCACTCCCTTTCTCTTCATACACAAAGAGGAGAAAAAAGGCTGACTTTAGGAGGCAAAGGTATTCTTGAGGAAATCATTTTATTCTGACTTCTGTCCTTATTGTCAAGACTATCTGAAGGTTCCTTCAGTTTTAACTTCACAGATCTATCCCAACTAGTCCCCATTTTAAAGTCCTGAAGTATAATGGAATCATGGTAGAAAGGAACTTCAAAATCCATGTTTACTTCAATTCTCTCATCTGTATGTGAAAGCTCTGTGTAACCTCCCTACCCAGGGGTTGCTCAAGGAATTTTTAACTCAAGCATATACATCCATGGCAGGAAACTCACTACTTCAGGAGGATGCTCATTTGGGGGTAACTTGCTTAGAAAGTTCTACCATGGATAGAAATACTTCTGTCTCTCCTGTATATTCTTCTCACTGGTGTATGTTTCATTTAAGAATGTACACACCTACAGCACTCTGCATCTTGCTTACCGACCAGAATGGTATCCACATGTTCAAGGATTGTGCAATTCACACAGGTTAAGAAATTGTTTCCAGAAGATAATACTAAAATGCATACATTACTTATTTTCTTTTTCTTTTTTTGTACTTCAACCTTCAATTTCCTAAATCCGGACTAAAGAAACTTATTTAAGTCATTATAGGTATTTGAATCCCTTAATGGACTTCAGGGAGAATGGTAGACATTTTCATTTTTCATAGTCCCTGTTTTGGAAGCAATTTTACAGGTTTATTGGATTTTTGAATTCCCATTTGACAATACTGGGAAAAGGTTGCACAGCCTGTACTGATCCCTTGAATGCTCCTCCCTAATGTTAGTATGCATGCTAACTGATTTATCTTTCAGTAGTTTTATCCTCCCCAAATCTAAAAGATAGATATTACTATGCTCACTTAACATTTGAATAAATGAATTTCAGAAAGTCTAAGCAGAAAAACCTTATGGGAAGACAGCAGCAAGACCAGGGTCTCAGTTCAGAATCAAGTGTTCTGAATAAATTTCTGTGCTTTTTCCAATACACTCTGTGACCATTTTATATTCTTCTTAATATTGAGCCAGATCTTTCTCTTGTTTATCCTGCACAAAAGAAATTAAATCCTCCTTCCATATTGAAGCTGTTGAAGTCATTGAATACAGTGGTAAATAAAGTCCCCAAAGTTTCAATTGCACTCCTACTTCCGTAACTGTTCCTGAAATGACAGAGCTTCCAGCCTCCTCTCTGCATGAGGTCATCACTTCTAAGGGCTTCCCAGAGTGTGCCTGGAATTCAACAAGCTGTTGAAAGAGTGTGTATGTGGAACCGCTTTTTTTTTTCTTGCAGTAAAGTCAACAACCAAGGTTCATCTGAGCTCTGTACAGTGGCATCAGCAGAGTAAGAAGAAGTCAGTAAAGTCCCTATCTTGGTTTGGCAGGACTTTCTTGAGCAAACTCTGTGGCCACCTGTTTCTAAATTGCTTCTAGTTCCATGGGATGGTGAGAGCCAACTCAAATAATGGTTAACACCCTATTTTTCCATCCTGTTTATACTCCACGGCTGCAGCTAAGCCCATCTGAGAATCTGGATGTTCTTACCAGTATAAAAGGACAAAAGGAAAAATATGCTAGAGAATGATTAAAAAAATAACGTCTCCTGAACAGCTTTGTAATGTAATCATTTACTGCAGAAAAAGCCTAACGGCAATGTTTTGATAACTAAAATATATATAAAATGAAATTATTCATAGTTCACTTCCAATCACTATCTTTAAAATTCAAATCACATGAAAATATGTAAAACATATTCCATGATATTGAGAGACTCTCTCCACCTCACAATATAATGTAGTGTGTGGTGCAAAGACTGTGAGTTCAAACCCAATTCTCCCATTTACTAGCTGTGACCTTGGGCAAGACACTTACACTTTGTAAAGCGTCTTTGTTTCCTTACCTGTAAAATGGGACACTATAGTAGCACACACCTCATCTGGCTGCTGTGAAGGTTAAATGAGGCAATTCCGGAAAAGCACTGAGATTGTACTGCCTAGAACTGGTAAACAATGAATGGTGTTGGTGTTCTTGTTTTGCCATATGACTGTATGAGAATATTGTGGGAGTTCTCAAGCTACAGAGAGATGACATTTGTGGCTAAGGTTACCTTTATATAACCTAGAAGTGAGTTTTTAAGTCATGGCTTGAATGATGGGTAATATTTAACAGTGGAGGGGGAAGGGATGTATGTGAGAGTCCATTTGGCACCTGTGTTAGAATAACTGCAATGGCACTGTCTGTGGGCCTCTTTGTGTAGAAGAAAGGTAAACTTTATGAAAATTCTGGTAAAGATAATTAAAAGGAGTCTTGCAGTATATAACAATTTCAATATATGATAAAGTTTATCATTCTAATTCCAGAAAATTGCCAGCCATCTTGCTTTGAATTATTTGAGGTTATTTTTTCAGCATATTATTGTTTTATTTATTTTTTTCTACAGCAAAAATATAAGCTGATGTGATTTTTCCCTGTCCTTCTCTTCATGCTGTTGACTGCATGCAGTCAAGATGCTAATTAAAACCACCTAATTTAAATGCCAAGTTTGCCCTGAAATAGATTCCCAGTAATTTTGCAAAATTACTACTGGGCATGGAGGATGCAAAAGATATGCTTAAATAATCTGTGTTTTGCTTAAAGTGATTTAAATGGAGAAGTCAGGCATTTTCAGCCTCCATGCCCTGAAGAAAATGTGCTGGAAGGAAACCATGGCAGGAAGTCTACGGATGGAGGCACACTCCAGCTCCAACGACAGAGTCCACAGGACTTCTGGAGATCCTTATTTTTATTTTTGGTATCTTTCCAAAATCGGTCAGGACTGTTGTCAGGAGCAGCCTTATTAAAATGCAACCACTGTAGAGTTATTTAAACTACAATGAACATCAATATGGTAAAAAAAAAAATAGCTAAATAGCTAAATATATGATCTCCTGTCTTTCTCAAGGTAGCTGATAATAGAAAAATAAATGTGTGGAAAGTACCAGATTTGAGCAGGAGGAAAATATTACAGGAAACTAGCATGACCTATGTTAACAGGTCAACTGTGAGTCTGATAGAGGAAACTCAGTATTGGCAGAACCAGGAAGAAGAGAGGTACCAAGAAATTGGTTTGTACGGGCCTCTGCTCTTGACTGTCATGAGTCAGGAATTAGAGGACATCAAATTCAATATTTTGGGAATAAATGGACCTAAAAGTTATTCTGTGTGTATGTTGCAGGGTGTGGAAATGGGTCCCAAACACTCAATGGAAAGAAGAAAAAATTAGTTGTAATATCCCTTGTAATTCTTTTAATCTATAATTTTTAAAGGTAATGCTCTCTACTCAAGTGAATTCACACTTACCCCCAAGAGAAGAAATCCTTTAGGTAACACCTGTGCATGGGTTTATTTCCTTTTGACTGTTCTTTGTATACTCTCATTGATAATGACACAATATGTGGGTGATTTCAGAACTTCAGATCCTGGATCAGGTTCAAAACACTCTTCATGGTCAGTATGGAAGCCTTTATTGGGCCTCACCTTTCCCCAGGGTGTACTGAGATCTCCATTAAGCCCAGGGTCCATACAGCCGGTAGGTTATCTACATATATATTTGCTTCTTTCTCTCTTCTATGCCATCATTGTTCTCATAACCTCAACAAGAAACCTGCTAAAGCCCATCAAGCAAACTTAATAAATTGACAAGTATTAATTGATCATCTATAAAAGTGCAAGGATCTCATTGTTAATTAGCTGATTCACAACATGATTTGAGTCAGCCATGGATTGTGAGGCTGAGTGAATGGGTAATGATGAGGGTCCCTGAGTGTAAGTCTCATCATCTTCAGTGATGGCAAAGCCCTATCTACATAAATCATCACAGACTCAGCTCTATTACCAAGATGCCTTGATTAAGCCCTGTAAATGGCAGAATGCAGAGTCCAATCCAATTAGCCTTACATTGGTCTTTATTACATATCAGGAAGCCCATGATTTCCAATGCACATTTGACAAATTATACTTTCTTGTCTTCTGATAATAAGGAAAGGAAATGTGAAATGCCCATTTTTCCTGTTCCTTCTTGCATCATAGTTGTTGCTCTAGTGGTGACATATTTTACCACTTACACATATTGTGACCATATCAACCAACATACAATATGTTTCCATCTTTAATTTGAAAATGCTTTCTGACATGCTGCACATCTGCCACCAACTCAGATAAGATTGAGGAGAAATGTTTGGGTCAGTGGTGCATGAAATCTAATTGAATGGCTCAGAACTCTACCATTTACATCTGTTCTGCTTTCCAAAGACCAGACAGATGGAAAACAAGGACAAGGACTGAAACACTCCATCTCTAAAGTGGCCAAGCAAAGCTGGGCCCTACATTAAGAAGGATTGCTTCATACCTGATTCTCACTTCCAAGGCTATAATATCATGTTTTACACAAATAGTTTTAACCACTTGTCTTTCTGCATTTCTATGAAGAGCATATTAGTTACACTCTAACATAAACCAACTTGGTACTAAAAAAAGTATCTGTGTATTTAATTAAATTCTGGATAATAGAAGCATTATTCTATGTTGCAGATGTTTACCAGTGATTTGTGATCATTTTTTTTTCTTTTCTAACTAAAAGCAGTGTAGGAAATAGAAAAGTGCATAGGCTATGTTTAAATATCATACAAGCCTCTGTTTTTCCACTTACTAGGTATGAGAGAGGAAGTTAGCCTTGAGAGATGCTGCTGTCCTTATCCTTAAGTGGCTATTTTGGCATTTTAAAATGGGGTTGCTGGAAGATTAGAGGAGACCAAGATTATGAAGCCACTAGCACAGTATCTGGTAGATAACAGACACTGAAAAATGCATCAGCTTCACTTCTGTTCTATCCAGAATAGGAAAGATCTTTAACGTCCTTTAGGCTCACTGGTCTAGCCATTCTTTTAAATGTATTAAGGCTCAAATAATGCATCACTAAAAGCACATTTTATATATATATATATATAAAATATATATATATATTTATATTTATCATCCTTTCTTAAAATTAATGAGGGATTTAAGATTCCCAAGTACTAAGTTAGGTTTAATATTTCATGGATTTATTAAACATTCTATTACATATATTTCTCATTAAAAAGCACCAACCTGGTACATTGGGTTCATTGTAAAATTAAACTTATATTAAATATTATATATGTATATAGTATATATATATATGTATGCATATGTGTATACATATATTTAATGGTAGAAACCATAGCAAATATAGACTTATAATTTCCTGGAATAAAAGTTGTTAAAAATTACCTGGATTTAAAAAAATTAACACAATTTTAATTGATAAATATTTTATGCTGTAATTTACGTTTCCAGTTTCATAAGTCAGAGTATGAGGTTACCATGCATTCCAGAGGCAAAGAGATATTCCACTGTGACTTAATTGCTCATGATTAAAGATAGGAATCATTAGATTTTGCCACAAGGGAAAAAGGAGAATGGTTAAGGTGGGGGAAAAAGGAAGGAAGGCAAAATTTGGTGTAATTAGGTTGAAATGAGCAAAAGAGAATTTCTACCTTAAATATAAATCTGCATTGTTTCAACCATGAGTTACACAGCAAGTCAATAAAACTGGCAAGTTATGAAAGCAGGGAATTTTTTCTTGTTGTTTTTAATAAAATGTACAGATTTCACTATTTTCAAGTCATACTAAGCAAAGAAATAATACACATATTAACTGCTGGAGGGCTTTTATGAATATTATCTCATTTAAATTTTACAATAATGCAGTAAACGTGTGCCACTTATCTAGATTGGCCTTTCATATGGCAAAATTAAACCCAGAGGTATTAAGTAGAGTGGTGAAGTTAAAATTAAATGCCAAGTTTTTCTGTCTCAAAGCAATAATATTTAGCATGCTTTCTATGGCAGTTACGCTAGAAGAATTCAGAGGAGGGCAAGGAGGAGTTTGAAAGTGTTGATCTGGCAACAGGAAGCATTCTGGGGTCCCTTCCCTATCATACATGTCTCTGGAAGAAGAATTGTATGTAAATTTGGGGTAAGAAAATGCAATAATCTAGACTAGGGGCATAGAATGAGTTGTTTTGGCTGAAGCTGAGGTTTTTGTTTTTGCCCATGTCAAAGATATATCCCAGAACACTGGGTAGGGACTATATATTTAAAAATAAATGTCATAATTATTTTCAAATTCCACTCCTTATTTTGGAAGGAAAAGGCTTTACATTGCACATTTCTGTCTCCTCTACTTTGCTTCCTGCCTTGCAAGAGGTGCTAGGCTTTTCTGTCTCACAGGTACTACAATTTGGCTGAAAACTCTAGGAAGACTGGGTCCATGTCTATCTTGTTGAGCCATGTAACTATCCCTGAAGTCCATCATAATGCCTGGCACATAGAAAATGCCAAAGTGTGGGATGGATGAATAAATGAGAAGCAAGTAAAAATCTGAAAATCCTGGGAACAAGGCAGAGAGCAAATCTGATTCAGAGTCCACACTGGAGAAGAGATAAATGAACTAAGTAGTTCTGGGAGAAGTAGTTCAGACAGACCCTTAAAGGCAATAGTACACAGAACGCACACTTTTATGACTTGATGGAGAAGCAGGCTGGGGCTCAGAGACCAATTCTGGCAGGATATATAGCTGTTACCACCTCAGCTTCAGAATCCTTAAGTCCTACTCCCGAAGTTTAAAACGAAGTGTCCCAAAGTATCAAGTTTTATATCCTTCTTTAATTGCTAAAAGAGAGCAAAGAGAAACAATAGAATGCCTGAATTCAGTTGGCATTGCCATTGTGATTAGTGGTACCCTGGGTGAAATAGTCAAATAAAATTGGGAATCTCAAAGATTAAAAAATATCTGGCAGAGATGATGGGCTAGAAAAATAATACAAATGCTCCTTAACTTACAATGGGGTTATGTCCTGAAAAAAAAAAACCCATCCAAAATTGAAAATAGCACACACTGAAAATGCATTTAATACACTTAACCTATGGCTCATCACAGTTTAGGCTAGTCTACTTCAAACATGCTCAGAACACTTCCACTTGCCTATAGTTGGGCGAAATCATCTAATGCGAAGCTTGTTTTATAATAATGTGTTGAGTACTGCCACAGATGGATGTTTTATAGACATGATGGGTTGCAGAAATACATAACACAAACACACTGGCAACACACTGTAGAGTGTAGTGTCAGTTGTTTACCCTTGAGATTGCCTGGCTGGCTGGGAGCTGTGGCTCACTGCTTCAGGCCAGCATCATGAGAGTATCCTGCTGCTTACTGACAGCCTGGGACAACATCAAAATTAAAAATTCTAAGTATGGTTTCCACTGAATGTGTATTGCTTTCACACCATCTTAAAGTCAACAAATGGTAAGTCAAACCGTCATAAGTTAGAGGCCGTCTGTGCGTGTATAATTTCTGTTTTTAGGTTTAAGAAATGATTTGAAATGGGGTGTGTGGTAGAGGTAATGAATAAACACTATATCTTTGATAAACACATCTGGGTAAATGATTTTCATTAACTTCTTTGATATATTATCTTTGCGTCTTTCCCACAAATCCAAAGAACCTCATGACCTCCCACCCCCACCTCCTGAAGGCCATATGATTTTCAGGGGAATATCATTTCTCTTCTTAGAGACAATCTACTTCAAAATCAGGAAAGGAAGCACCATCACTGCAAAAAAATAGTATTACCTTTATGATAAATAGCATAGCTAACTTTTCAGGTCCTTATTAGCTTCTAAATGTGAAATTATATTTTAGTAAAAGAAAATACCAGTGACAACAGGTAGTCTTACCTCCTTGCAAAGTAGGCTCTGCAAGGATGTTAAACATGGACATAAATTTCTCAGCTGTGATCATTTTTTGGCCATTCCCTGACCCAGATGGGAAAAGGAACTGGAAAATTCTCTTTTTCCTTGCATATCCTGTGGTGACATGTAACTTGAGGTAGGAAAAGTGAAGCCTTGCCAATTACGGTTATTACATGGTTTCTACGTTATCTACCACTGGCTTGGTTCTGAGGAAACAAGACAGACACTTGAGAAGTGTGAAAGTTAACAGCCTTGAATCAGGATTTGACTGAAGTAGCTGTGAAAATGTAGAACTCGGTTGCCAGAGTTGGCTACCTTACTGTACCAGTTAGTAGCTGCCTGACCTTGGGAATTAAGTAAGCTTTGATTCCGTCACAAAAGCAGGTTAGTAAGGGTAGCTTCAGCTCAGGTCTATGAGGAAGATGAAATGATATTTTTACTATCTCCCCCCAGTCTAAACTATTTCAAGTTAAATCAATTACCTTTTATAGACATTGAGAAAGTACTTTTTAGTGGGCTCTCTGTCTTTTGATCATCCCCACATGATATCAGATGATACTAACAGCCAACACGCACTGCTTATTCTACTTCACTCTGCTGTTTTGCATGCAGCCAATCATTTATTCATCACACCTCCATAAACTAGTTATTATTCTCAGTTTAAAGGGTCAAAACTGCAGCTAAGAGAAATTGTGCCAGATGGCAGAGTTGGTCAGTTGTTACAGCAGGAATTTTCCCCAGGTCTGTTTGTCTCCAAGACCCCCATACTGGGTTTTGTTGAGGAGAAGATGAGACAGGCCCACAAATTAATTTCTCTCCACCATCCTTGATGTAAACTTCAGCAGGTCTGACTTCATCCTGGTCAATAAGTATTTTAACTAGCACAATAGGAAAACCTTGAAAAGACAATACTTCAAGTTCCGCAAACCTTCAAGACTCCAACTCTTTTAATTTACACATTGAATAATAAAAACTAAAATGAAAGTGTCATCTCAACACTGGGAGACTTGTTCATAGTGACACTGGGCAATTAATTAAGCTCAGTTACTCTAAAATGAAATTTAAAATCTCTATCTCACTAAGATATTATAAATACTAAATAAGGATATATATGTAATATCCTTGATAATGCCAATTCTAATAAGCATATAGAGATTATTATTAATCTGTAGACCACAGAGACCAGTCAAAAGCACTTTTAGAACAGGAAAAGAGCTAGTATTTCATATTTTTATAAGGCAGAGGTGAATAGGATGGCTTGGTGGTTGTGTTAATGATAGAGGCAGGAAACAGAAATTCTGGGCAGACAGGGGTGGGTGAGTCCCTGGTGAAACCCCACCATCAAGTCAAAAGCCTGAAACCTGTGGCCCAAAGTGAGAACTTCTATCCCTGTTTGCCCATTCTCTCCTGATTCTTTCTTTTTGAATAACGTCTTTTTACCAATAGAATGTTGCCTTTTCCAAAACTATCTACAGCCTGTTCTGCCCCACATCCTGTGCCCTATAAAGACCCAGACTCATTTGGTAGAGAGAGAGAAGCAGCTTGACTGGAGAGAAGTGACTTGACTTCAGAGGGATGGCTGGGCTTCAGAGGAGAGATGGCTTAACTTTGGGGAAGAGCCAGCCGGAGAGGGCCAGACTTCAGGGAAGATTATCTGCCTGCCCCATCCCCTCTCCAGCTCCCCTCTCTGCCGAGAGCCATTTCCTTCGCTGAATAAAATTATCTACCTCCATTATCCTTCAAGTGTCCGTGCAACCTCATTCTTCTTGGACGCTGGACAAGAGCTCAGGACCCACCAAGTGTAGGTACCCAAAAAAGGCTGTCACACTAGTCCTTTGCCCTCACTGGTGGACAGCAGCAGCCCCACGCGACAAGGCAAGAGGCCCACTGAGCTGATAACATAACAATGTCCACAGACGGTGGAGCTAAGAGAGCATTGTAATATGCCCTCTGGGGCTTTGGGGGCCGCAGGCACCCCCACCTAGGCACCATCGCCTCAGGGTCCACATGAAGCCTGCTCTTGCTGGTGCCCAAAGTGCATTCTTTGTACAAGAGGTTGAGCATGACAGGCCAAGTAAATGGGGCATCCGTGTCACAAGTCCGATGAAGGGGTTAAGAAAAACTCCTGCATCATTAGTTTGCTAGGGATGCCATAACAAACTGCCAAGATTGGTTGGCTTAAGCAGCACAAATTTATTTACTTGCATTCCTGGAGGCTAGAAGTCTAAGGTCAGCAGTATTGGTTTCTGCTAAGGCCTTTCTCCTTGGCTTGTGGATGTTTGTCTTCCCCCTGTGTCTTCACACGATCCTTCCTCTATGTCTGTCTGTGTCCTCATCTCCACTTCTTAAAGGACACCAGTCATATTAGATTAGGGCTCACCCTCATAACCTCACCTTAACCTTATTACCGCTTTAAACATATGTCTCCAACTAAAGTCACATTATGATGCACTGGAGATTAGGACTTCAATGTAAACATTTTTAGGAAACACAATTTATCCTGTAATATTGATCATCCAAGAAAAGGTGAGTGATCTCAGGGAGACCAATCAGGAAGCCCTTGAATATCTGAAATTGAGAAATTTCACATTTTTCCTCAGGTATTTTTCTTTTTAAAGGTTTGCATGAGGCTACACTTTAGCATGCAGAAATACCAATCCCTTGGCTAGTTTCCATGGTCCCCAGGAACATAAAGATCAGAAGAAATCTTGCTGCAGAATGTATGGGTTAGAGTCTTAGTTCTTTATCAAGCCTTGTGCTCACCCCTCCTGCTCTCCAGCTCACACTGGTATTAAAGGCTCCCCTGCCCCATATTCACATAATGGTGCCAGATTTCAAGCTTTCTAGAGAAAACTTTTTTATTCTTTATTTTTTACACTGCATTTTCTTTTTCCTAAATATTATATGTCCAATTTTCTCTAACTTACATTAAAGGAGTTTCTAAATATTGGAACTATACTAAAATATAAATGGAAAAAAATGGCAGTAATACTTTGGCCCAACATGATAGATAAAAATAAAAATCTCTAATGGTAATGCCAAACCTCCACTTATTCTTGGATTTGCAGAAGAATTTAAATTTTTTTTTCTAAGTATACATGATTACACCTTTATCCTGGTAGAAATCACAGCAAAATAAAATTAAATAAAAAAAAAAATCACTCCTATTACCTCCATTCAGAAAGAAATATGTTAAAATTTTGCACTGCTACAAACTTTAAACACGTCCATAAAAAGGGTGCAAAATTTGCATTATATCATTTAATATCATACTTTTCATACTCAATATCATACTATCATTATATAATTATGACACCATAATTTTCAGAAAATGGGGGTTTAATGAATAATTAACATTTCATAATATAAATATAGTTTATTTAACAATTTCTGTAAAGTTTGGAATTGGAAGTTTTTATATATTTTTTATAATTTTTCTTCTATTGTGGATTCCATATTTATTTCATTTGCTCATTTTTCTGCAACGTTTGGTGATATGACATATTTTTGAGCTGAGAAATGCACGTTATTATGCTTAATGAAATATCACCCTATTTTATGTTTAAATGTTTAATTGGTTTGACTCAGGATAGACAGTGTGAGACAGGTATGGTACAAGATAATTTAGGTACACTCTTTCCTAATGAATTAATTAAAACTGTCAGTCACCAAGTGATGCTCTTACTTCATTCAACTTTGGATTGTCCTCCTGTGACTATTTTCTAATGACTATTGGACCAACTCCCCGCATAAATTCCCCCCCGTCTCCCTGCCTCATCACTGTCCCTCTCTGCAGGCCCTACACACACACACCTTCAATCTGGGTAGGCTGATTGTCGCTTGCACTGTCTGGCACCACAGCTCCGGCTGGCTGGCTAGAAATGATGATGACAAAGAGGCAAGTTCCCTGCCAAAGTCAAAGACAAATTTCAGTCTCGTAATAAAACTCAATTGCAGTCAAATTAATCACAATAATGCTAGGGCTGTTAGAGAAAATGGAGCAATTTGGAGGAAATCTGTCTAAAACACTGGGTAAGCAGTGGACCCACAGAAGTCCCAACAGCCCAGGTGGGCAGGGGACATAGATCACAGGTGAACTTCTAGGCCAGGAAATGGGTCCTCACCAGAGTTCATGAGAAGCTACATTCTCTCCCTAAATGATATTTTATTTTACATGACTTTTTTATAAGAGCAGTGAATTATCAGAATTAAGGAATCTTCACAGCACATTAGACGCATTTGCCGGAGTAGACAGCTGCTCCGTAGCTGTCAAAACACAATTGAAGACCTGGGGATACTTTCTGTGTGGCTCAGAGAATGAAGTGATTTCCATGCCAACTGGCCGTGGCTTCCACTACGGCCCCACACTTAAGAGACTGCGTCCCACTGCTTCGTCCTGACTGCATGCCAGGCAGTACAAGGTGCTCATTTTGACATTGTTTTTCCTAAGAAACTTCATCTTTCTTAGCAATTTGTGATTTTCTTTTTAGACTTCATAGGATGACTTCATATGGAGGGCATTCAAGAGGAGCCTATTTTACACAGCAGGACTTTATTCACCCCCAACAGACATTTATGTCAGAGCCCGGTGCCCCTAGAAGTCCTTGGCCTTCCCCTTCCTCACAAACTCGCTGGTGTCAGACTCCCCTTTTCTCCATGCTGCCTCCTTCTCCAAACTTCGGCTGGCCGTGTGTCTGTGTGTGGTGTTTGTGTCTGTGTGTGCCATGTGTGTGGTGTGTGTGTGTGTGTCTGTGTGTGTGTGTGTCTATGTGTGCGTGTGTGTGGTGTGTGTATATGTGTGATGTGTGTTTGTGTTTGTGTGTGTGTATGTGTATGTGTGTCTGTGTGGTGTGTGTGTGTGGTGTGTGTATATGTGTGATGTGTGTTTGTGTTTGTGTGTGTGTATGTGTATGTGTGTCTGTGTGGTGTGTGTGTGAGTGGTGTGTGTGTGCATGTATGTGGAGGGTCTTCAAGGTTGCATAGGCAGAGCCTCTGTGCATTACTATATTGGCAAAGGATTCTCCTCAACCAATGCACTCAGAAAAAACAAGGACTATCCAATCCCCCAATACGTATGCCCAGAAATATGTTTTACATTCAATTTAACAAACCAAAGAATTTACTTAGCATCTCAGGGTTTCCTTTTTTCCATATACAAAGTAAAAATAATTCCTGCCTTATGAAACACTGACATAGGTTGAGAAAAATGATCTATTTAATATATTTGTACCTAATAGAGGGTTTGGGCCAGAGACTATTAATTGAAAATCAGTGTCCTTCTTTTCCTTATGCCTGAAAGGTATTGATGGAAACAGAAAGAGACATAAGGTACAGAATATAGAAGCAAACAGTTCAGGAAAGATATGATCTCTTGATGTCAGACATTACGTATTATGATACAGTTTTTAACAAATACAGTACAACAATAAAATGCTATAAGAAAAACAAAGAACATACTGTAGAACGCTATGATTTATCACAATATGATCACGTAAGATGTGATGCTCTGAGATGGGACATGGGATAATGTTGACACCTGAGATAAGAATAAGAATATTCAGTGTGAGATCAGATTTCAAATAAAGTTTCTTGTATGTGGAAGGCTGGGATTAACAAGGCAGGAAAAAGTGCTTACACCATTACCTCTAGCCAAAAGCAGCATTCAGCTTGGATATGTTATGAGTAAATGAGTTTAATGTAAGATAGAAAAACTGAAAAAAGAATTGTACACAAGCGAATAATGTGGAAAGCCACTTCTTTCTGGATGAGTGAAATATTGGTGCTTGTTTTTCAGTATTTATATCTAAGGTTTTACCTCCTTCGGCATGGAAAAAAAATACATCTAATTAAATCCAAGTGATAGGACATAACATAATCGATATCCTGAATAGCAAAAGAAGATTATTTTAATTTTGAGTGCAAACGGTTTCCAGTTACAATGGCAATTAAAATGCATTTTTAAAAGATGTTGAAGGACATTGCCTTGGAGAAGGTTTTCAGTGTATGTTTGCACATGGCAGTCATCCCTGTGGATGAATGTGTGTTTTGTTTGTCTGTGTGTGTAGCGTATGTGTGGCCTGCTTAAAAGCAATTATCATTGAGGCTAACTATATTAGTGCTCAAAAATAATATCTAAAGTACATTCTAGGTATTCTTACTAGCCTTTTTGTCTCACAGGAGTAGTCTGCTGCAAGAAAAGGTCAGGTAATCAGCATCCATGAATTATCGTGTGCTTGTCTGTTTTAATGGTACGTCTTACCTGTCTCTCCTTCCCTTTCCCATCTCCCTCTCCAAATATTATATGGCTAGATTTTATTAGATCCCTCCACATTTTTACTATCTCTTTCTTCAGTTGTGATAATAAAATGAGTTTTAAAGTGTGAAACTTATTAAACAGATGTAGAAGTGAAGAATCCTTCCTAGTACAAACCACCACTTCTAATGGCATCTACTGAAGCCTGATCCCATTCTATTTCTAACTAAAATGATTTTAACATTTGCCTAGAATAGATTTAGAATAAGCTACATGATTTTTAAAAAACATTCCACGTGGGGATGTTAAGACACTACAAGAAATTGTTTATTTGTAGAAATGGCTTTACCTCAAAGTATAAAATAAAAAGGGCAATAGTAAACATTTTTTATCCAATAGCCTATAGGTGAAGTAATAAAGAAACAATATACCATTAACAATGAAAAAATAGATACAATAATTCAATTATAATGAATATACAATTATATTCCATGCATCTTCAGTGGAATACTAGATATGTACATGGCTCGGCAGCCAGACCTCTTCTTTTATTTCTATTTTTATAATCAGATAACATATCAATCAATTCTCCAGAATACATTTCTAAACTCGCAAACTATGTCTAGTCTAGACTGACTGAAACAGCTCTGCCAGTTAATGAGTAATAAATTAATCAATTAGGACTTTTATGTGATAGGTAATTAACAAGCATTTGAAGAAGGTACTAGAATATTTAATATCATCTTCAAATCAGTGACATCTGGACTCACAGGTGTCTAAATCTTGTTTAACTAGAACAGGTGTATAGAATAGTAATAGAACTCAAACAATGGATACCACCCGTTTTATCAATAAACATAAGGGAAACTGTAGGCAGTGGTCTTGAAAGCATGGTCCCCGGATAAGAAGCATTGATATCACCTAGGTTTTTTTTTTTGGAAATATATATTATAGGTATGCACCTAAACTACTAGCAGAAACTGTTGGGACTGGAGTCTAATATCCTGTGTTTTATATAACAAACCCTTCTACGGGTTTTGGATGAAGATTGAAATTTGAGAATGACAGTTTGTGAAGAATGGGATAAAAGGGTCAGGAGAAAACAAGTGTTTCTAGAGCAGTAGAGTAGAATAATGTTAAGACTGTGAGATCTGAGTAAAAAGTGAATTTGAATCTTGCTTCTATTACCTGAAAACTTCTGAAATTCATGCAAGTTACTTATATTTTGTTAATTTCAGTTTCCTTGACTGTTAAAAAAATCATTAATAAAGCATTAAACTGCACATATTAGTGCTCAATAAGTACTGGTTATTTTATTAATGATTCTTCTAATACACAAAATTAGAGCTCATAAATGCTTGTTAAATTCAACTTTTAAAAATCAATGTATTAACATTTTCCAATTTGTAAAAATTAATTCTGAGCTAGCGGCATAAAGCTCTAGTATTTATACTGCTGCACCTGTAATTTGTGAAATAAACAAACATAATTCGAACAGAGCATAACCATGTCAAACTCATTGGAAAATGCTGCTGTACACATCTGCACTAAAATAAAAATTTTCAAACTTGCCTCCCATGAAATATGAGTGCTCAACAAAGTGGTCCACATGGTCTGTTGTTAAAGTAACAGTGCCCCAGGTGGGCACAATGGCTCACGCCTATAATCCCAGAGCTTTGGGAGGCCAAGGCAGGCGGATCACAAGGTCAGGAGTTTGAGACCAGCCTGGCCAACATGGTGAAACCTCTTCTCTACTAAAAATACATAAATGAGCCAGGCATGGTGTTGGGCACCTGTAGGCCCAGCTACTTGGGAGGCTGAGGCAGAATTGCTTGAACCCGGAAGGCAGAGGTTGCAGTGAGCCAGGATTATACCACTGCACTAGAGCCTAGGCAACAGAGTGAGACTCTGTCTCAAAAATAAATAAATAAACAATGAGAACACATGGACACAGGAAAGGGAACATCACACTCTGGGGACTGTTGTGGGGTGGGGGGAGGGGGGAGGGATAGCATTAGGAGATATACCTAATGCTAAATGACGAGTTAATGGGTGCAGCACACCAGCGTGGCACATGTATACATACGTAACTAACCTGCACATTATGCACATGTACCCTAAAACTTAAAGTATATTAATAATAAAATAAAATAAAATAAAAATAAATGGCACTTTAAAATATGTTTATAGTTAAACTATGAAAATATCACAACTGTATCTATTTGGGATAATATCAAAATATCATGTGTTAAAATAATAACATCTTTTCTTGACTTGTAATACAATTCAAAATGTGACATTGCTTAAAAATATTAATTTTATGTGACAGATGTAAAAATATTATCATCCTACAACTTTAAAACAAAATTACTCTGGATGGAAAAAATAAATAATTAATTAATTAATTATTTTTTTTAAAATAATAAGAGAATAAAACAGTGACCCTTCCACAATTTTTTAATGATTGTCTGAAAATTCAAATATAACTAAACAAATGACCTAGTCAAATTACAGATATAAGCCCTTAAAATATTAGATGCATTATATGAAGAACTACATGAGTAAAAATAGGAATGTATTGTATAATATATGTATTGCCATTGCATAAAATGATGAACTATGTTAATCCTTTAGAATATTTCACAAAGTACTTCTTGAACTGCCATCTCCCAAGACTAACTGGGAAGTTATATTCTTACAGAATGTTTATTTCTAATTGGATACAAGATTTTTCTTTTTTGTAATCTACTGAGTAACAACTATGTCAATACCACAGATATTAAAACCTACTTCTCAAACTATTAACTACAACTCTGTCATCTAAGTAGCTATATAAAAATTCTGAGGACCTAGAATCACATTGACTTTAGAAAACAAATTCATTTTATATTCTAAGAGATATTAGTAATGCTTCATACTTCACAGCCACACAGCATTTTCTGTAACACCCAGCCATGCTAAGCAGTGGCTTTGGAGGCAGAAACATATTTTAGAACACTAATACATATTTTGAATGTCAAATTCTCAAAACAAGAAATGTAGACTTAACAACATTGCATATGTATTTCAAGTGTACATTACAAAAATATGACAGTGTAAAAATCTTGTAGCAAATCTAAGAAGAAAGTTTAAAGGAACCTGGGAAACTCCAGTACTTCAAAAATAAAATCAATATATCTCAGTAAAATAATTTTCAAAAGAAAAAAAGACATTCATTTTAAACTGCACAGATAAAAAGATTCATGGATATCAATTTTGAGAACTTTTAGAGTATGTGGCATAATTCTTCCTTGCACATTAATGCCATATGTTTTTCTGCTAATTCAAAAAGCATTCCTATATTCCTATAAAGTCACATATAATATTGTTATTTTGGGGATCCAGAATAATAGCAAATTTATTTTAAATTTAACATCACATTGATTTTTACTGGATCTTGCTATCTACTTTGTAACCATAGTACTATGCTGTTTTTAAACAAAAGCAATTAAAAAAAAGAGGAGGAGGAAATCAAGGAATGAATGAGGGAAGGAAGGCAAGATGGAAGGAAGAAAGGAAGACATACAACGTTAAGAATTTGCTTCTGCAGAGCAAAAGAAACTATCATTAGAGTGAACAGGCAACCTATAGAGTGGGAGAAAATTTTTGCAATCTGCTCACCTGTCAAAGGGCTAATATCCAGAATCTACAAAGAATTTAAACAAATATACAAGAAAAAAACAACCCCATCAAAAAGTGGGCAAAGGATATGAACAGACACTTCTCAGAAGAAGACATTTATGCAGCCAACAGACACATGAAAAAAAGCTCATCATCACTGGTCATTAGAGAAATGCAAATCAAAACCACAATGAGATACCATCTCACACCAGTTAGAATGTTGATCGTTAAAAAGTCAGAAACAACAGATGCTGGAGAGGATGTGGAGAAATATGAACGCTTTCACACTGTTGATGGGAGTGTAAATTAGTTCAACCATGGTGGAAGACAGTGTGGTGATTCCTCAAGGGTCTAGGACTAGAAGTACCATTTGACCCAGTGATCCTATTACTGGGTATATCCCCAAAGGATTATAAATCATGCTACTATAAAGACACATGCACATGTATGTTTATTGTGGCACTATTCACAATAGCAAAGACTTGGAACCAACCCAAATGTCCATCAATGATAGACTGGATTAAGAAAATGTGGCACATATACACCATGGAATACTACGCAGCCATAAAAAAGGATGAGTTCATGTCCTTTGCAGGGACATGGATGAAGCTGGAAACCATCATTCTCAGCAAACTATCACAAGGACGGAAAACCAAACACCACATATTCTCACTCATAGGTGGGAACTGAACAATGAGAACACATGGACACAGGGTGGGGAACATCACACACCAGGGCCTGTCCAGGGGTGGAGGGGCTGGGGGAGGGATAGCACTGGGAGAAATACCTAGTGTAAATGACGAGTTGATGGGTGCAGCAAACCAACAGGGCACATGTATACCTATGTAACAAACCTGCATGTTGTGCACCTGTACCCTAGAACTTAAAGTATAATAAAATAAATAAATAAAATAAAAATGAAAAATAAAAAAATAATTTTAAAAGAAGAAAAATTCAGTTTCGATGAAAACTCATTGCAATCTAAGGATAAATAACTACTTAAGATACCAAATATCTTTAAAAGACATCTGCCAGTGTTACAGTTAAAGTATGTTCATCATTTATTATGGAGATGACAGAGTAAAATAGGTGTTTCTGTATAAAATCAGTGAGAATTTAAAGTAGAATATTCATTCTAGATAGCAGCTACATAGTATATATTTATAATCATTAAAATATTTATATTTTGGCCTTATCCAAGGATCTATGTTCAAAAAAATATTGAGTTGTTACCAAATATTATTAATTATTTCCAAAATATAGATTTGGTTAAAATATTTGTCCTTTCTCATAATTGAATACAACACAGTCATTAAAAACCATATCTCAGTTTAGAGTAAAGCAAAGCTTCTCAATCTTTTCCTTCTCAAGATGTATACCCTGAATGACATTCAGATCAAAGTCATACATAACTCCTGGAATGAGACCTTAGGTCTTTGTCTCTTCTCAAGAAAGTAAGAAGAATACAAATGAGTAAGGGTGACTTTGTATGACCAACACTAAATCTTCCAGATTTTTTAAGATGCTAAGTCATTCTGAATTTTTGTGCTTTAAGTATTAGGGGTACAAAATTATGTG
This sequence comes from Homo sapiens, assembly GCF_000001405.40. Taxonomy (NCBI): domain Eukaryota; kingdom Metazoa; phylum Chordata; class Mammalia; order Primates; family Hominidae; genus Homo; species Homo sapiens. Next base: position 82,610,597 of record NC_000010.11, on the reverse strand, counting down.
GAATTCTTCACTCTTAGCCAAGAGCATCCCAGTGGGCTTGACACTTGGACAATAATGAACACTGAGCACATTATATTAAAATATGCAGCGATGCCAGTCATTGTTTCATGAAAAAGTCAATTACAAACCAGTATATCCAGTATAATTCCTATTTTTAAAGGAATTATATGTTAATGAATTAAACATCCTAAAATTGAGGGACATTAAAATGTGATAACAGGCAGAATGGTTCCCCTGAAGAGGTCCACACTCTAATCCCTGAAACCGGTGTGAATATTGCTTTACACGGCAAGAGGGTCTCTGCATATATAATTAATTGATCCTAAAGTAGAGAGTTTGTCCAGCTTGTCCCAATCAAGTCACTTAAAAGTCTACGCTTTTACTGAAATTGGAGGCAGAAGAGATTGAAGCGTGAGGAGGGTTTGAAGCCCTGGTTGCTGGTTTGGAGACAGAGGGGCTGATATAACATGGAATACAGGGGCCCTCGATGGGGTGAGAGAGGTTCTGGCTGACAGCCAGCAAGGAGACAGGGACCTCAGCCCTGCAGCCATCAGGAAGTGAATCTGCCAGGAAGCTGAGTGAGCCTGGGAGCAGCTTTTCCTCCAGATCCTCTAGATAAAAGCCCAGCCTTGGTAGACTCTAAGCAGACAAACCAGCCAAGTACACCCAGATTTCTGACCTAAAGGTCTATGAGACAATAATTTTGTTTTACTTTAAGTTGCTAAATTTGTGGTAATTTGTTGTGATATAAATGGAAAACTAATATTATATACAAGGGTTGTGGGATAACATTAATTTTACTTTCTTCTTTACTCTTTTGACCTTTTCTAAATTTACGATGAGGAATAAAGAATAATTGAATGTTAATGTAGTTACATTACATTGGCTTTTCATTGAAATAAGGTTTGGTACAATCATGAAAATTCTATTACCAGATTGATTATGAGGTTTAACACATGTTTTCCAACTATTTTTTTTTCCAATTTTCTCTCTCTCTTTTTTTTTTTTGGAAAATATAATCTGTTGGCACAATATAACTTGTTAATGTTTGAATCCAAAGTTTTGTGATCTTCTCAATTGATTAGCACCATTACTCTGATACAGAAAATGACACTTCAGCAATTGTAAAATAGAAAAGGTGAGATTTTCCTCTGAATAGATTGTAGTCCTGAAAGACAGACAGAGGTAAGCAGGCCCCTTGAACTTGCCTAGAAGAGTTGCTAAGTTCAATAAAGCTACATACCAAATCAGTGCTAATCAAAACCTGGTCCATAGATTGGCACTCTTTGAATGGCTCTTTACTCAATTATCAAGGATAGAATCACGTTATTTTCTAATTAAATACAAAATTATTACAAACAAAAGCCAAGGAACTAACAAAGCTTATTAGTGATGCTTTTGAATATGTTACTTTGATTCTCCAAATCTTTCTTTGCATACATTCAAAGTTGTCTTCCTTTTCTAACGTCATAAATTTGTCAATCACATATGGTAAAGTGTTAGTAAAAAAAGGATTATGAGATCTCTTCATAGAAAGAAGGGAGACATTATTATATAATGATGTACAGTACTTTTCTTCTTTTTAAATTAAAATCAAGAGGGCTATCAGGGTAGGAACATTTAAACTGTAATTGACAAATTATTCAAGGCTCAGTATGGACAAGCTTGAGAGTTAAAAACACCAGGGAGGCCCAGTCCTGAGGGGGAGGGGTGATACATTTTTTTTAAAGAAAAATATGTTGGTGCTTCTAATTGTGTGTGTGAGTCAGGGGGCAGGGGAAGTAGCCATTTGAAATACACAGAGCTTTCTGTTATGCTTAACAAGGCGTACCCTTAAGACAAACTATTTTACCAGAGCCTAACTGACCTGGAGGAAGGGCAATACCCAACTCCAGCTCCCTCCAGCCTTCTTTTATCACCTAAAAGGGAAGAGGGGTTGAGAACAAATTGTAGAAGTGACAGCCCAGAGACACAGTCTCACTTTAAGAATGGTAACTAACCATAGGGTTATAAACCTAACTTTTCCCTCCCCAAACAATTTACCACCACAACAATAGGGATTTCGTATAGCAGGAGAGGCAAAACCAAGGAAATATTTAAAACAATAATAATCAAGAATTTTCCAGAAGTATTAATAGAAACAAAATCAAAGATCCAGAAAGCCCAGGGAACATCAAGAAAGATAAAAATAAAGAAAGACACAGACGTCTACACGGGAGCATATCAAGTTCAAACCACAGGAGGTTAAACACAAAGAGAAAAATCTTGAAAAAAGCAAGATACACCTTACATAAAAAGAAGCAAAGATAAGTACTACATTAAATTTCTCTTCTACATTCAACAGAAGCTGTGCAGGAAAGAATTTAAAGTGCTGAAACAAAAAACCCACCAAGCTAAAATCTGTATCCAATGACATTGTTATTCAGAATGGAAGTCTTCAAAAGTTAAGACTTTCTTAGACAAACAAAAACTGAAGAAATTTTTTGCTATTAATAGTAGACCTGCCTTGCAAGAAACTTACATGGTATAAGTCAGAAACTGAGATCTATAAAAAGAAGGGAAGAGCATTAGAAAAGGAATACATAAAGATAAAATCTTTCCTTTTTCTTATTGATCTGTCAGGTTAAAGTTTGTCAAGATAATAATGGCAAAGTATTTGGTCATTGTAACTCATGGAAAAGTGAAATGAATGAACATAATGTTATAAGGGCTAGAAGGGAGGGACTGGGACTTCTCTGTTATAAAGTACTTGCAATACAAAAAAATATTATTGTTTTATATTAAATAGGACTTGGATTGTTTATAAATGTATATTGCAAACTCCAGGGCAACTACTACAGAAAACAGGAAAAAAGAAGTATAATTAATATGCTAAGAGAGGAGGAAGAAAATGAACTCTATTATGAGCTCAGTTAAAACCAGAGAAGGCAGAAAAAGAAAGAAAGAAGAAAAAAAGAGAACAAGAGCAATGGATAGAAAACAGTAACAAATATGGTAGATATTAATCCAACTATATCATCATTTAAATATCAAAGGTTTGATACATCAATTAAAATACTAAGATTGTCAGAGTGGGGAAAAAAGGCCTAATTATACATTGTCTATAAGAAGTCCACTTAATAAGGACACAGATAGAGTAAAAGTAAAAGAATGGAGAAAAATGTACCATGCTAATTCTAATCAAAAGCAACCTGGAGCAGCTATATTAATTTCCAATCAAGGCAACTTCAGAGCAAAGAGAATTATCAGTGATAAAGAGGAGCATTACATAATGAAGAAGGGGTAAAGTCTCTGAGAAGACATATATTCCTTAGAGTGTGTGCACCCAACAACAGTGTCAAAATATATAAGGCAAAAACTAATATAATTACTATAAAAATATGTATCAATCCACTATTATAGTTGAAGATTTCAATACTCCTCTAACAGTTATTGATAGATATGGCAGATAGTGTTACAGGACCTCCAGATTTGATTTCTCATTGCACAGTAACTGACCAATACACTGAAACAGTGGGAGTTGCAGCAGAGAAAGCGTTTAATAATTGTAGGACAGTCAAACAAGGAGACAGGAGGGAACCTCAAATCTGCCTCCCCAAGAGGTTTGGGGATGGGTTTTTTAAGGGGCCTAGATGGGTGATGGGCCAAAGTGTGGGATTGCTGATTGGTCAAGAAGTGAGGAATGAAGTCACAGGACAGGGAGATGAAGAAACAACGTTTTGGTGCTGAGTCACTTCCTTGGTGGGGGTTTTCAGATTGCTTGGTGTCTGCTGTTCTGCTGAAATTCAGGATATGAAGAACACCTTTAGCAATTTTTGGGTAAAAATGTTCGGTGTCAGAGATTCTATCTATAGGAACAATGAAGGAGCAGGTGGTTAGTGTGCTATGTGACTCTGGGTTATGCAGCAGCTGCAGGGAAGTGGGTCAAAGTGTACCAGCACACCCTGTCCAATGCCTGACTCTAATTTTTCCTAAAGTCAGGCTTGTAATTCTTGTTAACCTTGTGCTGGTGTTTTCAGTAGGGAATCAGTAAGAACATAGTTTAAATGAACAGCAACATCAATCAACTAGATCTAATTGTCATCTACAGAATGCTTCATTCAATCACATCAGAATACATATTCTCAAGACAGCACAGAATATTCACCAAGATAAATCACTTTCTGGATCATAAAACACACCTTAACACATTTAAAAGAACAGAAATCATGTGAAGTATTCTCTCAGATCACAATGAAATTAAATTGAAAATCAGTAAAGATAACTGGAAAACCCAAAACACTTGAAGATTATATACCACACTTCTAAATAACACGTGAGTCAAAGAAGAAGTCTCAAAAGAAATTTTAAAATATTTTGAACTAAACAAAAATTCACCTTATCAAAATTTATAAGATTCAGCAAAGGCAGTGCCTAGCAGTAAATTTATAGCATTTGATGTGTATAGTAGAATAAAAGGAAATCTAAAACCAATAGTCTAAGATCATGCCTTAGGAAACTAAGAAAAGAAGAGCATATTAATTTTAAAGTAAGCTGAAGAAAAGACATATACAAAATTAGAGCAGAAGTTGATGAAAGTGACAATGGGAAATCAACAGAGAAAATCTGATTCTTTGAAAAACCTCATAAAAGTGATAAATTATTAGCTAATTTAACTAAGAAAAAGAAAGACAACTATTATTAGAAATGAAAGAGAGGTCATGATTATAATCCCATGTATATTAGAAAGATAATAAATGAGTATTGTGAAAATTTCTATGTCAAAACTCACAGAAGGAGAAATAGGTAATCTGTATGGGCCTATATCTATTAAAGGAATTTAATCAATAATTAATACCATCTGAAGCAGAAAGCAACCAGCTCAGATGGATTCACTGGTGAACTTTACTAAACATTTAAGGAAGCAATACCAATTAAAGAAATACTAGTTTAAGAAATATAAATTCTCATAAATTCTCTATAATATTTTTCAAAAAGTAGAAGCAAAAGGAATACTTTCTCACTCATTCTGTGAGACTAGCATTACCCTAATATCAAAACACAATAAAGACATTATGAAAAAGGAAAGCTATGAACTAATATTTCTTACAAATATATAAAAATTATCAAAAATATTAGCAAATTGAACCCACTGATGTAGTAAAAGAATTCTATACCGCAAACAAGTGGTATTTGTTGCTGGTATGTGAGACTAGTTCAACATTTGAAAATCTGTTAATGTAATCTATCATATCAATGGGTTAAAGGAAAAAATCTTATGATTATATCATAATGCAGTAAAAGCAGTAAAAAGCATTTAACACTATTCAACATCATGAATGGATATGATAACAATATTTATCATACCATTTCATGATAAAACCTCAAAAACTTTTACTAGAGGTACACTTTCTCAAACTGGTAAAGAATATCTACAAAAAAATCCTATAGCTAACAACATACTTAATGATGAGAAATTACATGTTTTCTCACTAAGATCAGAAACAAAGTAAGAATGTATGCTTTCACCACTCCTACTCCACAATGTACTGGTCCTAGTTAATCCACTGACACAAGAAAAAAAGAAAGAAAAGAAAGGTAAACACATTGAGGAGAAAAACCTGTGTTTGTAGATGACATGATTCAGTAAAGAACTATTTGTGAATTGGGCAACTATGGCAAAGTTACAGGACACAAAGTTAATATACGAAAGATAATTGCTTTCTTATACACCAGCAATAAACAATAGGGATTTGAAATTAAAACAATGCCATCTGCACTAGCTCATGGAAAAAAGAAAATTAAAAAAGAAAAAGAAATTTGCCTGTTTAAGTTCAGTTGTTTCAGCACCATTTTTTGAAAAGACTATAATTTCTCCATTGAATTGTGTTTGCTCTTTTGTCAAACATCAGTTGACTATAGTTTTGTGGTCTATTTCTTGGTTCTCTATTTTGTTTTATTGATCTATTTGTCTCTTATTTCTCCAGTACCACACTGTCTTGATTATTGCAGCTTCATAGCATGTCCTCAAGTCAAATAGTGTCAGTGTGATCCAAACATTGCACTCGTTGGTAATTACAAACATGAGTTTGAAATTGTCTACACAAAACCTGTACACAAATGTGTATAACAGCTGTATTTGTAATTGCCAAAATGTGACAGCAACCAAAATGGCCTTCAATATGTGAATGGATAAGCAAACTGTGGCACATTTATGCGACGGAATATTATTCAGAGAAATAAGCTGTCAAGCCATGAAAAAATATAGAGAAACTTTAAACACATATTGCAAGGTGAAAGAGACCAGTGTGAAAAGGCTACATATTATATGATTCCAACTGTATGACATTCTGGAAAAAACCAAAACTATGTAGATAGTAAAAATATCAGTTTGCCAAGGGTTCAGGGGGAAGGAGAGAGGGATGAATAGGTGGAACAAAAGGGATTTTGGAGGCAGTAAAATTAGTCTGTATGATTGGACACATGCCATTATGCACTTGTCAAAACTCATAGAATGTATGCCACAAATAATTAACTTTAACATAAACTATGGCCTTTAGGTAAAAATAGTGTTTTTATATTGGCCCATCAATTATAACAAATACACCACACTAATACAAGTTGTTAATGTTAGGGAAAACCGATAGGCAGTTAAGGGTCATATGAAAACTCTTTATGTTTTCCATTCAGTTTTTCCATACACCTAAAATTGCTTTAAAAAGGCTATTATTTTTTAAATATATTCTTTCATTTCAAACATAACATTTGTATGAAATCCAATGCCATGTGTATAGAGAAAAGACAAGTTTTTTGCCTTTATTTTTATCTATTTTATCCAAGTATTCTATTTAAATTAATCCTACATAAAAGCAACTTTTTAACACAGTTCACATGAATAACAAGTAAATATATTATCTAAAAATAACTTCACCTGAGACTTTTTTTTTCAGAAATAAATTTATTATAGCATCAACTTTTTCTTTCTCTTAAGCTTACGCTTGCACACCAAACATTGGCTTTCAAAGGTGAAACTGTGGGTGGTCATAAGTAAAAGGAAAGTACTAGGGCAGACCCTGCAGGAAATGTGGACACTGGGATTTCTGACTGCACTACAGTTAGAGTTGACCACATGTTTCCGCTCAATTGTTTCCTAGTCCATAAAAGAAAGCTTAAGTGATATTCAAAGATGACCAGTTTTGAGACTCTTGCCTTTGTGACTATACAAATGAGGAGTATCTTTCTAGGACATGTACAGAAGCAACCTTACTCATGATACAATATGGTTTGAATAAAAAAGAGGGAGTAACTGTTTTTGATTTGGGGTCAGTTACATAAATGTGACTGATTTTGCCTCCCGAGAGTGGGGCTCTAGCAGCCACATTCCCAATGACACCTCAAGCTAGCCTCCAAAAGTAGGCTAATTCCCATGAAGGCAAAATTGCACCAATGCTTTCCCTCTGTTTCACTTACCATAGCTAGTACAGAATTTACTGAATCAGGGAAGAACAATAATGTACATACAAATAACAAAACAATAACACATCTTCCAAGTACCAGATTCCAACATTAGACCCAAAGGGCTAGTTACATTTACCAATTTGTTAGACTGACTGCCCTTCTACTTCTTATTCATCAACTCAAATTTTCAACTTTTTAACTTATTTTGCCACATGCAAACTGGAATTGGTTGAGTCTCATTGTCTCCTTAGGCAAGCATTGCAGAACCATTGTCAAACTCTTATGCCCTCCTGTCATTCCAAAGGCCTCCTCCAGTAACAAATGGCCAAGGTGTGTTGGCTGACAAGATGCAGGATTTCACTCATGTGTATCCCAGAATTGTGATATGAGAATGGCCTTGTCCATTTCTTATCAAGAGAATGGAGAGCCAGATAACTAATAGTTATTGAGCACTTATTGTGTCCAGGAACTGCGCTTGGGTCTTCATATATGATCTCATTCAATTCTCAAAAAAACATATTAGGTGGACATAGATTTTGTATTTCATACATTTTCATATTTTCATTTTTCCTGGCTTGGATAATTTTACAAATATCTATTTAAGCTAGGAAGTGGTGGAGTCTAGGTCTTAATTGAGTTTTACTTATCTTCAAAGCTAAGAGTATATTGAAAATAATATAATAATTTAATAAATATAATCTATGTATAAGAATTTCCACTCATACTATAAGTAGAGGATCATTCTTTAACAGTTAGTATGTTACATCTTCCCTGAAATTAACAGCATTATACTGTGATGTGATAAGAAATTTATGCTATTCCTTGACCTCCAGTAAGAATATTAAACAAGCATGGGATACAGAACATGATATCAAGAATGCAGGCATAGAATCATTACCACAAATCTCTTTGCAAACCCAGTAGGCCAGAGAAGAAACATATTAATGGGAAAATTTCAAAAAACGGATAGTCGACTGTGGACTAGACATTTAATCCTTGGTTAATAACAAAATGCCTAAAAAGAATTGCATATACTAAGTTCAAACCACTTTATTTTTTATTGTTTATTTATTTTTTAGAGACAGGGCTTCACTCTGTCACCCATACTGGAGTGCAGTGGCATGATCATAGCTCACTGCAGCTTCCAACTCCTGGATTTGAGCAACCCTCCCATCTTTGCTCCTAGAATAGTTAGGACTATAGGCATGCACCACCAAGCCTAGTTAACTATATATATATAGTTTTATATATATATAGTTATATATATATATTTGTATATATAGTTATATATATATAAATAATTTTTTTTTTTAGCAGAGATGGTTGTCTTACTGTGTTGCCCAGGCTGGTCTGAAACTCCTGACTTCAAGTGATCCTTCCGCCTCGACCTCCCAAAGTGCTAGGATTACATGTGTGAGCCACCACACTCTATCTACCATACTTTAAAAAATGCATTTCTTACAGTAGCAGACAGTGGGAAGGTCCACCGAGAAATTAAGGACAAAGATGAAATGAATACCTTGTATATCCAACAGATACATCCAAATGTCCAATTCTGATATTGATATAATAAAATTAAGATTCTAATAGATTGCCAGTAGAGGTAAGATGGCAAAGCTTTTGGAGAACACTTTGAAAAAATACATTAAAAGCATGACAATAGTCATGCCATTTGATTCAGTACTCCCAATTCTGAAAAGAAAAATCTAACCAAAGAACAATGCCAACATGAAAAAGTTATTTGCCTGAAAACATTCATTTTGGAATTTTTGTGATAGCCACAAATTGGAAACCTATATTCAACATTACAAATATCAGTAGTGATTACTAAGTGTATGAACAAACTCAGAATACTGATGACACAATGTTAACTAAATCATTTTACCAAAAAGATATCAGCACTAGCATATTCATCACAGTACTATTCACAATAGCAAAGTCATACAATCAACCTAGGTGCCCATCAATGGTGGGTTGAATGAAAACAATGTGGTACATATGTACCATGGAACACTACACAGCCATAAAAAAGAATAAAATCATATCTTTTGCAGCAACATGGATGCAGCTGAAGGTTATTGTCCTAAGTGAACTGACATAGAAACAGAAAACCAAATAGTGTGTGTTCTTGTTTATAAGGGTGAGCTAAACTTTGGGTACACATGGACATAAAGATGGGAACAACAGACACTGGAGACTCCAAAAGGGGTGGGAGGCAGATGTGGGGTAACGGCTGAAAAACTTCCTATTGGGTTCTATGTTCACTATATTGGTGATGGGATCAGTAGAAGCTCAAACCTCAGTGTCACACAATTATACTCTTGTGATAAACCTGCACACGTACCCCATAAATCTAAAATAAAAATTAAAAAAAATAAAAATAAATGAGATATGGCCAGGCACAGTGGCTCAGGCCTGTAATTCCAGCACTTTGGGAGGCTAAGGTGAAAGGATCACGAGGTCAGGAGTTCGAGACCAGCCTGGCCAACATGGTGAAACCCCATCTCTACTAAAAATACAAAAATTAGCCCAGTGTGGTGGTGCATGCCTGTAATCTCAGCTACTTGGGAGGCTAAGCAGGAGAATCACTTGAACCTGGGAGGCAGGGGTTGCAATGCGCTGAGATCGCACCATTGTACTCCAGCCAGGGTGACAGAGCGAGACTCCGTCTCAAAAAATAGCAAATAAATAAATAAGATACTGGTTTATTTATAATTCAAATTTGTCTAACTATACAATACAATATATTCCAAAAAAAGGACTATAATAGTATATTAAAACAATTCAGCTGTTTGAAATAGGGTAAGGAAATTGTAATTATTACATTTTTTTTCAGAATTTATACATGTTAATATGTGTCGTCAATAAGATAAAATCTAATCATTGATTTAAATGACAACTACTGGCAGGATGAACACTTGAGTGCAGATTTCTAGCTGTGTTCATTTCCCCCTGATACTTACAGCTATTGAAACAGGCAAAGGCACTTAAAAATAAGACAAGCCCTCTATCTGTGCTGGGAATAAGGGAAGTATGCCATCCACAAGTCAAAAATTTCAACAAATTTATACTAGATGCTTAACAATCAATTAGATCATGTAAACAGAAATATGGTAATCATCAGAGGACACCTGAATATCACTATTTTTTTAAGTATTATAAGTAGAGAATGCAGAGAGCATTTTCATATTACATTGGACAGCTCTGAGATATTTTAGTTCTACATTTAAAAGGAACTGATGCTTAATATCATTCTAATACCACTACTTTCCATGTCATTTCTGGTTTGGATTGATTCATTCTTTTGTTTTGTTTCACTTTATTTTGATTTGTTTTGTTTTGTTTTGAGACAATCTCTCCCTGAAGCCGAGGCTGGAGTTCAGTGGCATGATCTCATCTCACTGCAACCTCCACCTCCTGGGTTCAAGTGATTCTCATGCCTCAGCCTCCCAAGTAGCTGGGATTACAGGCGTGCAACACCACCACGCCCGACTATTTTTTGTATTTTTAATAGAGACGGGGTTTCACCATGTTGGCTAGGTTGGTCTCAAACTCCTGAACTCAATGATACACTTGCCTCGGTCTCCCAAAGTGCTGAGATTACAGGCGTGAGCCCCGGCGCCCGGCCTGATTAGTTCTTTATAGTCTCTAAGTATTCTTATTTACAAATTTATGTCTACTGCCTTTGTACCTAATGTACTTTATACTTGGTTTGAACGTTAAAACTCTCTGAGATGACAATTCCATCACTCATCCCCTCTTCAAATCTCCAGCTGCTATTTGGTCTCCTCTCTGCTAATGACGTAGCTGCATCCATGACTAAGAAAAGAGCCTCACCTTTCCACCACAAGTTCCACCAACTTGCATTTATCTCTACCTATTTTTCTAATATTAAAATGAAAAATAAATGTGTATTCCTTTTGAAGCCCACATATTCACTTTTGTCCTCCCATATGTATAACTGGCCTTGTCTCCTTCTGTAGCCACTATTTTAGTTCTCAATTATTCTCAGAAAAAAATCCCTGACTAATTTGATTATACTCACTGCCATACCTACTGACCTTCAGTTTTCTTCTTCTCATCATTTTCTTTCTTCTTTTTTTTCTTTTTTGAGATGGAGTCTCCCTTTGTTGCCCAGGCTGGGGTGCAGTGGTATGATCTCGGCTCACTGCAACCTCCACCTCCTGTGTTCAAGCAATTCTCCTGCCTCAGGCTCCCGAGCAGCTGGGATTACAGGTGTGCGCCACCATGCCCAGCTAATTTTTATATTTTTAGTAGAGACAGGATTTGGCCATGTTGGCCAGACTGGTCTTGAACTCCTGACCTTAGGTGATCCGCCTGCCTTGGCCTCCCAAAGTGCTGGGATTACAGGAGTGAGCAACAGTGCCCGGCCTCTTCTCATCATTTTCAACTGGACTTTCATACTCACCACTCCAATAAAAGGGCTCTTATCAAAGTCACCAGAGACAGTATTTCACAAAGCAAAGGGTCACTTACCTGTTCTTATCTTTTTTCTAAGCATAATTTGATATAGACAATCACTCCATCCTTCTATCCCTCCATGGTGAAATTGTCTCCTCTTGGCTTCTGTGACATTACATTTGCTTGGTTCTCTTGCTACTCTATGGCAGGCTTTATCTTTTTTACCAGACTTCTCAATGTCATGTGTCCAAGAGATATGAACTATTTGAAGAACCAAAGGATAGATAAGGAATGTTCAATTCCACAGGCACAACCTTCGTGTGCATATTGCCCTTCTCCCATTTGTGGCTTGTTTTCCTTCCTTTTAAGCCTTCCTCCACACAGAAAAGTGTCACAACTTAATTACATAAAACTGCCTTCCATTAAACTTATTTGGATTGCTTATCTGCAGGCATTGACATCTATATTCTCTGAGGAGAAATGTATAGATTTGTCTACATGAAAGAGAAATATTTGAAGCGTCTGCTAGCTATTATAGTACAAGGACAGTTTTCAAAATAAGATATTTAATTTTGAGTAAAATTTTTTTAAAAAAACTCTGCTAGGTTGTTCAGGCCTGTCTATAAAAATGATGAATTTAAATAATTTCTAATCACAATGACTCAGACCACTGTAGCAACACAGCAGAGCTCTAGGAGATTCATTTGTCAGCCTAGAAAGATCACAAATCACATGTTATCATCAAGGTACATGCATTATAAAGTACATTGTAAGGTCACGGTCATAGATTAAAGCAAGTTAGCTTTTTTTTTTTTTTTTGAGAGGGAGTCTCGCCCTGTCACCAGGCTGGAGTGCAATGGCGCGATCTCGGCTCACTGCAACCACCGACTCCCTGGTTCAAGCAATTCTCCTGCCTCGGCCTCCCTAGTAGCTAGGACTACAGGCACATGCCACCATGCCCAGCTAATTTTTGTGTTTTTCGTAGAGACGGGGTTTCACCATGTTGGCCAGGATGGTCTCCATCTAATGACCTCGTGATCCACCCGCCTCGGCCTCCCAAAGTGCTGGGATTACAGGCATGAGCAACTGCTCCCGGCCAGCAAGTAGCTTTTAAGAGCACATAAGAAGAGAGATAAAAAGCAAAAGAAGCACAGTTTAGTAGCAAATTACATGAAATTGGTGACAAAGTTAGGTTTTATGAGGAAACCTGCCCCTGCTTCTAATTCACCCAGAAGCCCAGACCTGTATGTATGTAATTTGTAGGTTTATAAAGACAGAAATATTTGATAGATGAAGGTACTGTATGGATAAAAAGCTAATCTGCATTCTCTTTACAAGCTAGAAATGTGCAAGGAGTTTCAAGGGCCGTGAAATAATTATCTGTTCTTTCCTCTGAAATTCTGCATTTGTTCTAATACATCCTTGGAAATGGCTATCTACTGTAAATTTAAACTTACCTTCCTCTCACGCTAACCTCATGTATATTGCCAAATCCTTCCTATATCTAATCTATCTCTAGAGATCATCCTCACTGCTCCCCCACATGCAAACATACACACATGTATACATTTCCAGCTGGTTCTTTACGGTTGCTTAAAATTTGGGAAGATCTCTTTTACTTCTTTAAATTAGGGTTTTTCAACTCAATACTGAAAATTGGTTTTGTTAAAACGCATATGGTAAGGAGGGAGAAGGGGAGATAATCATGCACAGAAACAAAGCCAAAAGGGTCTTGAAGGATGATGCAGTGCAGGTGTTAGAAAAACCACAGGGTGGGGGGAAGAATGACAATAAAAGGAAAAGCACTGCAAAGTTTCCTCAAAAATGAGACAGGTAATTGGAAAAAGCAAAAGGGACCTGGAAACAATGGGATCTGAAGTCACTGAATATATTTATATTTTGACTTTTGCAGTCTTTTCCCTTGGAGCATTGCCATAGACTTCTCAAAGCAAGCCATACTGCCGGATTTGCACTGCAAAACACTGGCCTCCACTCTCAGATTGTCTTACATACACCTGTGAGGATGAGTTTTTAAAGAGAGTGGTAGAGAGGAGAAGTGAAATTATTTCTTTTACTAGGTAAAAACATACCGCTAAAGCCCCTTTTTTGTTGTTGTTCTGTGTGGCCTATAGTTGATTAAGCTACCAACCCTTACCTTACTACCAGGGACTGCTGAATGCCTTTTCCTCAGGGCTGGAATTTTTTCTCCATCCAAGACTCTTCCTGACCAAAATGAGCCCAACCAGTTTGAAATGGAAAAACCTTCCCCTCTTATCTTGAGAAACAGGGAGTAGCCACTTTGCAGACACCGAAGTTACCCAGAGTCTCTGAGGTTCTCACATGCGTGCCTCATTAAAATCTTCTGCCTTCTTCTCATTATTATCTGCAACGAATTGCCAATCACAAGTCCCCTAAAAGCAAAGCCTGGCCTACAGGTCCTCCATTTCCAATTCTACTCTGGCCCAACTTCTCATGCTTTAAGCACAAAGTGGAACAACAGGAATCACTTGCTATGCGAGGCTCCTGAAGCGGCTACCGGGTCTTTGTCTCTGACTGATTGTATGAGACTCTCTGGGAAGTTAGCAAAAGGCTCCTTTTGCAAGCAAGCATGTTCATTATATTTAGGCCTAGGAAATGGGATGCCACATGTATTTAAACATACATTTAAAAGTATAATTTGAATACCACTCATTAATTCATCAATTCACTCATAGGTTTATTTATTAAATATTTCATTTCCTTCTATGCCAGAAACAATCATAAAATTAATGAACTGTATTGGCACTATTTTCTCATTTGAGCCTCTCAACCATTTGGAAACTTAAGGAACAAAAACTGTCCCTAGTTGGCTAGTCTAATAGCAGTTAAATGAATTGCCCAAAAGCAAACAACTAGTGAACTAGAATTCAAGCTGAACGAATATGACTAAAAGTTCCAATCTATTTTTTTTTTTTTGAGACACAGTCTCACTCTGTCACCAGACTGGAGTGCAATGGCATGATCTCGGCTCACTGCAACCTCTGCCTCCCGGGTTCAAGCGACTCTCCTGCCTCAACCTCCCGAGTAGCTGGGACTACAGGCGCCCACCACCGTGCCTGGCTAATCTTTTTGTATTTTAGTAGAGACAGAGTTTCACCATGTTGGCCAGCATGGTCTTGATCTCCTGACCTTGTGATCCACCTGCCTCGGCCTCCCAAAGTGCTGGGATTACAGGTGTGGGCCATCGCGCCTGGCCCCAACCTATTTCTAACATGCTATGTTGTGCAACTCTGTTTTATAAGGTGGTAATCCTATCTTCAAGGACCTTATACTCTAAAGCAGTCAGAGCTAAAAGACTAAGTATCAAAACTATTGAAGTCAGGTTCTGATCAATGTTGCACCTAATTGGGTAACAGAGGTTAATAAACATGTCGTAGTAGCTTGAGGATATACTCATCACAGCATGTCATAGTTTAAGTCATTCTCTGAAAGCATCAATCCCTCTGTAGTGAGTAAGTTCACTACATGCAGGAGACTGTTCCATGTCAGCTGAGTTAGAGGCTTTCTTTTCAATTAGAAGGAACTATTGTTCAGCTAAAGCATCTATGCATAAACTTTGGAATCATGAGAAATAAATTGGGTGGGGCATGGTGGATCAAATCTGGAATCCCAGCACTTTGGGAGGCTGAAATGGGAGGATCACTTGAGGCCAGGAGTTTGAGACCAGCCTTGTCAACATAGCAAGACCCCATCTCTAAAAAATAAAAATAAATAAATAAAAAGGAAAATGAAAAAAAGAAAAATAAATTGGATATTCATTTCATACAATCATTCTTCTATTGTCAAAGACATCAAATGCAGATTTTTTTTTTGAGAGGCGATGACCATGATACCATGGTAGGGTCCAAAGGCACCTTATTTAAAAAAAGATATAAGAGCAGATGCAGCCAGAAAGTAAGAACATGCAGGGGTCTAAAAAAAAATTTCTGAGGGCCATGGGAAGAGAAATTGTATATAAGTAAGACCCAGGAATGGAGAAAGAGGCAAGAGGCTACAGCTAGAATCTAGACATCTTTGCTAGATGTAGGAAATAATTGTAAAAGATAAAAAATATTCAATAAACTAATGTATTCAAAGAGATTAGCATAATGGTAGTATTACCTATTTTGTGGCTATAGTATCTATAAGCACCAGTAGTGTGGATGAGAAATTTTTTTAAAATAACCATTAACAATAGAGATATTTAAATATTTGTTTTAGGTTCATCTTAGCAGTGCTTAACATTTAAATGTTACCATTTAAATGATTTTTGAGAAATCCTTGTACTTTTCTCCAATAATTACAAAACTTGTTATGGCAACAATGCCTTTCTGGATTAGAGAACACAAAAAACTTATTACCATGATATTCTTTATATTATTTATTGTTCCATATTAAAACTGGATAGGCTAGACAGGGGCTACCATGAATTTGTGCAGAAATGATATAGTCTGAGTTTTCTTATATGCAGAAAGATAATAAAACACAGACTCACTTCTTATGAACCCAAATTCATCTTGAAGAGACTACATATCTCCTTTGTATTCTCAGTATATATTACAGCCATTATTCTAGCAATCCATCACTCTGAGTTTCTTAGTTGGAAAATCAGTTTTCCAAGAAGTATTTTTCCACTCAGCTCTGATACTTTAAAGCCTCAGAAAACAACCTAAGGATAAATCAAATGTGTCCTGAGTCTGACATAAAACAAAAATCAGTTCTAGAATAAAAGTCATCTAGTCAAAGAAAGTCTGGCTTTTACACATTCTTAAAAAATATTCTTTTAAAGGTCTAAAATGACTTGTAAATGAAATGTCTACAACTTTTATAATAGAATCATCAGTACTAAAAATAAACAAAGAACTATATATATACACATATATATTAAAGAAATATATATGTATTAAAACAGACATATATGTTCAATATATGTCAGTATGTAATATTTAATACCTGATAGTTTTATTTACATGGCTAATAAAAAACAAAAATGAAGGTATTTCTTAAAAGTAGGTATCTATTTTTTCCAAATTATTGATAGTAATAACAGAGATCATAATGGATCACTATGCTAAGTGTTTTGTATATATTATCACATTTCATTCTTAAATTAAGCCTGTGAAGTAGGTGTTATTTCAACATCTTAACAGAAAAAAAAATGAGCCGAGAAATGTTAATTAATGGCTTTGAGGTCATACTGGAAGTGTGGTCAATAGTAACTTGAACCCAATTCTGACTCCTAGCAAAGAATTCTCACTACAGCATGCTTCTTTATAAATAAAGGTAGCTCCTATAATCAAATGCAAATACAGACTGTGACATTTCTACCATAATCTCAAGAGCTCATGTTACAAATAATATTTGTTTGTTGGTATTAACTGCAGCCTTTTTATCACATTCCTGACCAACAGTGACCTGTTCAGTAAGATCAATAGCAAGGCTTTGGTCCAGCCCCATGGGGCAACAAATTTTCACAGACCCTTCAGTAGAGAACTTCCCCCTTATATGTTCTTGGGTCACTACTCTTACAACTCTTATTATGTGATGAGCTGGTCCTTTATCATGACACTGAAATCTTGACTCTAAGAACAGTGCAAACAACAGGGTCAAAGGGAAGGGACAGACAAACTGGTAGCAGAATTCAAATAAACTAAGAGAGTGAGAAATTAACAAAGGAAGAATAAACAGTAGGAAATTGAGATTTGATTGTGTAATTTTTTGTATATGCATCAGTTAGTCCCATTGGGCCATAAGCTCTTCAAGTACCTAGAAGATATTAAGCAAGTGTCTAAGTCTGAGCCAAAGCTGCTTCACCCAAGCATTAGAAAGGAAGCATGATTTGGAGGACAACACAGAACACTTTTATGGGTTTAAACCCCTGTCCCAGCTGACAATCCCTCAACATATACACATTTAGATATATGTCCAGGCAAGGGGTCTTTAGTAAAACAGCAGTGAACATTTAATCGTCTATTTCCTCCAATCTCCACAAGCTCAGCTGAACATGGTAGAGGCATGGAGTCAGCAGCATAGATAGCTGCATGAGGGTCACATTTTCATTGAATGTGGGCATTCTAGTCTTGGCTGATGACTGTCAGCAGGGGAAATGATCTTATAAACATGAGCAGTGGCAGTGACTGCCTCTGCTATGTGCTGGTACCATGGCTTCCATTTGGCACATGAGTAGTCTCACTGAGAGTACAAGCTACCCACGAAAAATGCATTTCCTCCTCTTCTTATGCACAAGGCAAACCATATTTCTTTGCCTGCCTAGAAATTGTTTGCCATGTGACTGAGATCTAGCCAGTGAAATGTAAGAGGACATCCTCTGTACCATTTCCAGGCCTGGCCCCAGAAAACCTCCCCACATGTACTCAATTCATATTCTCTTCTTTTAGCCGATTGGACTGGTGACCCTCAGGAAGACCTTAAAAATCACACATTAAAGATGGCAAAACTGACATCATCCAGAATCCCTTAATAAATGTGGAGAGAACCCCTATCTTCCTGCCCACTGCTTTACCTGGAAGCTCTCTGAACTATATTAGGGAGAAATAAATAATCTTATGTTTCACTGAGCCATTACATGTTTGTTTGTATTTATTTTGGAAGTTTTGTTTATCCTTATTAATCCACAGTGACCACAGAAAACCTAAGCATAAAAGGAAAGAAATGTCACACAATCTGTGGTAGCAAATGGGATTCATTCAGAATACAAAGGATAAAACCTCTGGTGTTTCCCAGAAATGCTTTGTTGGCACTGGAGAAAAACTAGAGTTCTCTGCAGAATGGGATCAAAGCTAAAGAAACATTGTTTTGTGACAATTTTTTACCTACAGGTCCCCAGGCCCTGTAAGATAGAAGTAACTGAATGAATAAGTGACTGAAGAAAGAAAACCTTTTTGCTTAAAAGATTTGATAACTCACAAAGGCCTAAGTAATGAGATTCAAAATCCTTGGGGAATAGTAGACAGAGTCAATTGGAAAATTTTCAGAAGGTTTTTGTGAGTTGTACTTTACTGAATGGCCTTGGGAAAGTTACTTAACCTCTCTAAGCCTAATTTTAAACATAAGGCTAAGATTATTTATTTAACAGTGTTGACGCAAGGGTTCAAAGAGATAATACAGTCAAAGAAAGTCAATACTATTAAGACCTTGACATATTTAAAAGAAAAAATTCAAAGGTAATTCCTTAAGAACACACAAGTATTAGAATTGCTCACCACAAACTCTGAATCAAATTGAGTTTACTAATTTCAAGCTTTACTAACTCGTTGATTGTTACTACAGTTTAGATGCCATTAAAACTATGAATGTTTATCATGGGATCCTGCCAAGTTTGACTGCACTTAAACCGCACAGTTGCATTAGTATTTTGTATCATTATCATTTTTTCCCCATTTCATTCATGAAAATATCAATTTGGGATGCCTATCCTTCAAAAAGTACTGTTTCTTAGGGATATTATTTTTTGGATTGAGTTTGCTGCACTCCTCCACTTTAAACTGAATAGGTTGGGACATTAATCCTTGTCTTCTAGGCTTTAAGAACTCAATGGAAGCCCGTCACCCGGGCCGTATGCTCAGGAGAACCTGAGAAACCCTTTCCCACTAGTGAAAAGAATATGAAATGTGGTCCCCAAGACTGACAGCTGATGTGCCTCAGGGAAACCCCAGGACTCTTGCCTTAACCCATGTTGTGTGGATGGGTCTTGAGGCCATTTTTATCTTGATGTTTTAATCACCTGATGTCTTGATGGAATGGGCAATGACTCATTCATCTTGGTCTGTAGCCCTGAATTTAATGAACTAAAGCCTGACAGCGTTCTTGGCCATAGTGTGGCCCCTACATGGATGGAACCTCTCTTTCTTTGATACTGACTTCCTTTGCACCCAACACCTTGGCAATTCATTGAAATCTTTGGTTCCAAACTGCAAGATCTAGGTGGCACACCAACCTGGTCCCTACCTGATGTTGAGCATCAACAGTGTCAGAATCAGAATCCCAGCTGCCTCACTTATCATGCCAGCTGGTACTCTACAGCCCAAGCTGAGCACAGGTGCACCACAACCCCTTGTTAATGGAGTTTTGCAGCATCTATATAAATCTTATGGGTAATGTGTTAAACTGGTTCAGTAGGTCTGTGGGGAGCAGGGGGACTGAGATTCAGTTCTAACAAGCCCGTGGTAGAAGCCAATGCTACAGCATCCTACAGGTCCATGGATCACATTTTGAGTAGGCAATATTTATTGTAATGACCTTCCCTCCTCAGTATTTATCAAGCTGAGGGTTTAGTACCTCTGCTCCACCTAGGGGCCTTCTTAGCTTCCTCCGATAACTTGTTTTTATACAACTTAAATTTCAGTGTGTCTCATAATAAATTACCCTAGGGGCTAATGTCTTCAGATACAGAGACATGAACTCTGTACAAACATGCCTATTCAAGATTAATACTTCATACTTACAAGATTCTTGATCATTACCGTTAAGTTTTGCTAGAGCTAAAAATTAAATAAAATATCTGCCTAACCTAGCTGCTACTTCACCCATTGGAGGTTGGGTTTCCTTCACAGACTGGCAAAGACATCAATAATTGGGACATCAAATTCAATCAGATGGTAGATACAGCAAGACTCCTTCAGAAGCTTTAGTTCTCATTAAAGTATTGAAAAACAACCCAAAATGTCACTGGCAATTAACATGGGTGGGAGGTTGAAATAATATGCAAGAAAACAACCATTTTTCAGTGACTGTTCTATAACTACATCTGGGTACAAACTATTATACATCCTAAACATTTCTGGAAATAAGCCATTTCCACAGTTGCAGAACAGATATTTGATCCTGATTTTATACTATGTTTTAGTTAAAGAGAAAAACAGATTTTTAAGTTAGCTCACAGGAATTGCCAATTACCCTAGTCAATGGGAAATTGCAAATATATGATACATGAAAAAGTGAATCCTGTGGTAGTGTGAGTGCAGAAGATAATATTATCTCAGTTACCTGATTCATTGTATTCTAAGCTTGTGGAACTATGCATTTACCTCCCCTCAAAGGGAGGGAAAATCAAAGCCCCTGTCCACCTACTTAATGCATTTTTTTTTAGACTCCGAGGGGTGTCTTTAGTAGAAAGTTCCCTTAACAAGCTATATAAATATTGAAATGAAGCAGAATTGCCCCTCATTACCAGTTTTTTAGCAATGTGATCTCACACCTGGAAGGCTTCCCACCTGATATTTCAATAGACTCATTATGAGAATCAGGACTGTTGAAGTTTCTCTCTAGTAGTGACACTACATGCCTGAAAGAACATCTGGTTGAAAATGCAGCTGGAGATGTCTCAATTCTGAATTGAGTGATACACCTTCAATTAATTAGTGACATTTCTTCAGGGTTTGGGTTGGTATTTTGTTTTTCCCAGGTGCCTGCTTTAGCATCCAAAGAAAGAGGTTCTGTCTAACCTCATAATGAATGCCTTGGGTTGTGCTTTCGTTACCATTTCTTATCTACATTTTGGTAATGCATCCATGGTTTCTGAAAAATAATTGATATGAACAGCGGCAATTTTCCAAGCAGGATCTGGGAGAGAACAGAGTTAAGGGAGACTGACAGAGAGTCTGGGTGCTAAGAAAGCACTGGGGTAACGCAGAGAGGAGGTGAGTCTCCCTTGCAATGCGTAGGCCAGCAATCCCCATGTTGTAAAGAGTAGAACCAAATATAAGCTTAATTACTGGTCAACATCTGAGGCTAATATAACCAAATATGAGACAGCCTGAATGAGGGAATGGCTCTGGGAAACTGGGCCAACTCTGCGGGAATGGTTCCTTGCTAATATTAGAAATTTGATGTATTAGGCCATTTTTTGTTGCTATAAAGAAATACCTGAGGATGGGTAATTTATAAAGAAAAGGGGTTTAGGCTGGGTGCGGTGGCTCACGCCTGTAATCCCAACACTTTGGGAGGCCGAGGTGGGCAGATCATGAGGTCGGGAGATCAAGACCATCCTGGCTAACACAGTGAAACCCCATCTCTACTAAAAACACAAAAATTAGCTGGGCGTGGTGTTGGGCACCTGTGGTCCCAGCTACTCGGGAGGCTGAGGCAGGAGAATTGCTTGAACCCGGGAGGCGGAGCTTGCAGTAAGCCGAGATTGTCCCACTGCACTCCAGCCTGGGCGACAGAGCGAGACTCCATCTCAAAAAAGAAAAAAAAAAGGTTCAATTGGTTCACAGTTCTGCAGGCTGTACAACCATGGCTCCAGCATCTGCTTCTGGTGAGAGCCTCAGGAAGCTTCTAATCATGGAGGAAGGCAAAGGGGGAGCAAGCATGTCATATGGTAAGAGCAGGGGCAAGAGAAGGAGGCAGGAGGCGTAAGGTGCCACCCTCATTTAAACAACCAGATTTCACATGAACTACTAAAGCAAAAACTCACTCATCATCAAGAGGATGGTGCTCCCTATGATCCAAAAACCTCCCACCAGGCCCTACCTCCAACTCTGGGGATTACATTTCAACATGAGACTTAGAGGGGTCAAATATCCAAACCATATCAGCTGGGAAAAGGATGGAACCAGGAGGTCCTGGGTAGGCCTGTGCTCACTTTGGAACCAGGAGGTCCTGGGTAGGCCTGTGCTCACTTGTACTTGTCTGCCAAATTTTGAACCCAGCAGCTCTCAATTCCAAGGGAAGCTAAATTAATTTTTGCAATTATAGTGAACTATCAAATGTATATAAACACATGTATATGACTTGTAAAATTATGTAGCAATTCAATCTTGTAAAACAACACAAAAAAACTACTTTCCTCAAAATGGAAATATAATTTTTAAATCTCTGAGTATCATCACATCGACTATTTACACTTTCACATTACTTTCTCTCTGTGCCTACATACTGTTTTAAATATGTATTGCTGCCAGCTTCCAAATATCAGGAGCTCTGGTTGAAAAATGTCACTCAAATTCATGTTTTTACTGACTCTAAACAGAGAACCCCTGTGCTCTCTGATTCATGGCCTGTCCATCTGTCATATCAGCGGCTCTAGAACTGAAAGAAACAACACACAGAAGCTAGTTGTTCCATTCATCCAGAGAAGATTGGGCTGGAGAGCCTGGATGATGTTGGGCCTACCTCTTGGTTGTTCCACAGACTTGTGCAACTCCATTAAACCACTTGCCCAAGATGAATTTCTAAGAGACTACAGATAGTCTAATGCAGTAATTTTAATTTTTTTTCCAGGACCCCTTTACATTCTTAAAACTTACTGGGGATGCCAAGGAGCTTTTGTTTAAGCCAGTTATATCTATTAATAATTAATCTAAAGAATTAAAATTTTGAAAATTAAAAATATTTATGTATTACTTCATTAAAATGTATAGTACTAACACATCATGTTTATATGAATAGCATATACTTTTATAAAAATACATTTTCAAAAACAAAATAAAATTAACGAGAGTGGTGTTGTTTTACAATTTAATGAATATCCTTAATGACTATTTTAATGGAAGACAGTTGAGTTCTCAGATCTGTGTCTGCATTCAACTTTTGTAATACTATAGGTCATGTAATCTTGGAAAAATATGATATACTTGTGAGACAATGAGCATGAATAAGGCAAATCACATCTTAGTATTATTTTGTTAATAGTTTTGACCTTGTGAACCCTCTGAAATAGGCATGGACACCTGAGGGGTTCCTGGGTCACATTTTGAGAAACATTGTCCTAATGCAAAGATTTCAGTATCATTTAAAAAACATGAAAACATGAAAAACATGAAAAAACATGATTTTTTAGCATGAAAAAATCAACAGATCACAATTATCCAATCCATTTCCTCTTCAAAATATCTTTTTGATTACATTCAAAATCATTAAAATTGTTAACAATATACATAAATTCTACAAGCCTGAGCATTTGAATGATGTCCACATTTTAAAAAATATGTATTGTATAGATATGATGACATGCTACTTGATTTATTTTTCTAATTTCAAAAGCAACTAAACACAAGATAAAATAAAGATGGTGAATAGAATCTAATTGATCACCAGTTAAGAAATATATTTAATAAATACTTAAAACACCAAGTACTGTTCTAAGCAATATTTTCACATTTACTCATTATAACAACCCAATTAGATTATCCTCATTTTATAACTGAGGAAATTAAACCACAGAGAAGCCAAGTATTTTGCTTAATATTTCATGATAAGTGGCATAACCAGCAATTAAACTCAGGCATTCTGGTTCCAGACTGTAAGTAACCAACAACCATGCTGTCCAATCCTGCTGTTATCATTGACAGTCAATGTAGTTGCCTTTCAAGGCCATTTTGGGAATACGGTTTTGATGAAAATTTTGTTAGAGCATCAAACAGCCAACAGCTTCTCCTTGTCTTCTCCCAAGGATAATAAACATATTCCTAAATATTTCTCAGTTTAGCTTTGTTTCGTTTTCTTGTTTTTTTTTTTTTTAATAATTTCAACTTTTATTTTAGATTTAGGGGTACAAGTTCAAGTTTGTTACATGGGCATATTGCATGATGCTGAGGTTTGCAGTATGAATGATCCTGTCACCCAGATAGTGAGCATGGTACCCAACAGTTTGTTTTTCAACCAATTATTTTTCTTTGAACCTATCATCCATGATTTGCAAATCATTATGCTCCTTCAAAACAAGAAATATTCTTCCCTATTTTAGTCACTTTAGAAATCACTTAGTGTATAAAGTTCTAAAAGTAATTACAATTCAGATTTAAGCTATTGAATATTAACGCAGTTTTTAAGTAATCCTATTTCAATAGTTTGAACACATTATTGTGTTAATATCAATAATAGTAGTATACCTATTATAAAAAGCCAATATGAACACTATAATATTCAATTGATAGAGCACACTAAAAAGTGCTTCAGTGTATGTTTTCTAAGCTTTCCATTAATTCAGTGCTTTGAAGGAGGCTGAGCAGAGATAATTATCATTATGCTAAATTTACAGATGAATAATTGAGGCTTAGAGAGTGTAGGTGAGATGGCCACAAGGTTGTAGAGAAGAAATAATACCCTCAAAACAGGTTCTCAGATAGAATTTCATTTGGTACAGCAATGGCTATTTAAGAATCTGCAGTGGATCTGGCAGGCCCACATGAGGAGGAGGTAACTACTGTGTAGCCGGAGAAGAGGGGTGGGTGGTCTGTGACTAGGACAGTGTACAGTAAAAATCTGTAGTTAACAAAACTCTCAAGGCTGGTTCTGCCCTCCAGAACTAAAAGTCTATGTTATTTAGTGCACAGTTGATTAAGTTCTGGGGAAACTCGTTCATGAACCTAAACTCACACAGACTTAGAGTTCAGATAGGTTATACTTTCTGCTTATTTTCATTAGTCCACTAAAAATTGTATGACCTCAGTTTATTCATCTGTCAATTGATATGAATGAGCTAACTAATTACCCATCTTTCATGTTCCATAGTTTTAATTATTCTTGTTGAAGAATACTTTTTCAATTAGAAAGGCTTATTTGGAAAAGTAATTAAGATTAAAAAAAAAACCTTATGAGTTGAGAGCAGAGCTGGGTATATCTCTGGGCTAGCCTACACAATTACCTGCACATTCTTCCCTCTCATAAACTCATTTATTTGCAGTCTTCGACGCATTTTTATTAATTATACTCACCCATACAGCCAAAACTCCCCCCGTTCCCCCCCCAAAAAAGACAATGACAAACAACAACAACAACAACAGCAACAACAATTGCTTGGGGAAGAGATCCTCCAGTAAATCTTGATCCCTCATTTAAAACCCTGTGCCAACTCTCCAGATTTCTGCAGCCAAAAGCACTGTGTCCTTCACCTCCCATACAGAACATACCTTCAAATGAGGCCAGTCATAGCACAGAAATATTGTTCATAAGAAACCAATGCTAAAAGACAATGGCTGGCGTTCTGTCAAAGCATCATGCTTATATCTGCATTCTCATTTTTCACCTGAGTGCCCTTCTCCAAAGTAACAAATTATGTTTTGATTATTAAGATAGGAGATCACTTAAGCAGAAAAAAAGGCAACAATTATGAACTAACATTGATGCCCTAATAACAGGAGAGAATGTGGAAAAATAAAAATATTCATTCCCAAAGGAAAGTGAGGATTGCAAAGTTCAAGCTAGAGTTTTTCAAAGTAAGGTTTTACTCATGAACCCAATAATTTGTGGCTTAATTTATACACATTAATATCTATTGCCTAGATAAGAATTTAGCGTTAGCTTTTCTGGCTGAAGTTTACCAGGAAGCCACCCAAATTTAATGGAGTTGGCTCCTGAGATTAAAAACAAAACAGGCCAGGTGCAGTGGCTCATGCCTGTAATCCCAGCACTTTGGGAGGCTGAGGTAGGTGGATCACCTGAGGTCACAAATTCAAGACCAGCATGGCCAACAAGATGAAACCCTGTCTCTACTAAAAATACAAAATTGGTGGGGTGTGGCAGCACACTCCTGTAATCCCAGCTACTCCAGAGGCTGAGGTGAGAGAATCGCTTGAACCCAGGAGGCAGAGGTTGCAGTGAGCTGAGATCACACCACTGCGCTCCAGCCTGGGCAACAGAGCAAGACACCATCTCAAAAAATAAATAAATTCAAATGAAACATCAACAACAACAAAAACGTATTTGCCTTATTTGTGAGGCTCTTTAAATGTTTTATTTTTTCAATTCCCATTATAGCCTTTTGAGAGAGACAGTTTTAATCCTTATTTTATAAATAAGGGTTATAAATAAGGGTAGAATAGGCTCACTAGTGCCAATTAGCTTTTCCATGTTCATTTGGCTGCAAGGCCCAGGGGTGAGATTGAGACTTTGGTCTATTTGTTACTGAACTTCTTATTCAAACATACCAGACCAGCTATGTGATTTGAAAGGCTCAGTACAAAATGAAAATGTAGAGGCCCTTGTTCAAAAATTAATAGTGATGGCAGAGCACTCAACCGAGTGGAAGGCCCTTTTTAGCATGGGGTCCTGTGGAACTGTATGAGTAGCATGCTTATGGACCAAAAATAACCATACTTGGGAGTTCCATGTCACAGGCAAAATAATATAAAATAACACATTTCATTTCTTGTAAAACATGAAGGTTTTTATAGAAATCACAAGCGTAATGTTTAAAGCTAAACTAGAAGACATAGGTTTACAAGTAGTTATGACAAACACAGTACCAAATACTTAAGATCCAACCAAATTCAGTCACACGTAAATATAGAAGCAACAAGAACAAGGTATGAAAGCTTGGCTTATTTTCTCTCTTGCCAATACTCTACTTAACAATTTTAATTTTCAACAGTGAAAAATGATGTGCCTGCAGGAAGTGAGTTATTTATGGCATTAGTGGAGAAAATTCACTTGGGATTTAGACTGTTACTGAATCAGTATTATTTTTTTAATAGAGCAAGAGCTAAAGGAGAATGTTCTCATATCACCTTACTATTGATTGTTTTGTAAAACTGAGAAGTACAGATATTTTAGGCATTTACTTCTAATGTTCAATCATGTGCTTTTCTTCCTCACCTATTTTTGTCACTATTTTTTAATCCTCTTCCCAGTATTTCTTGAACACACCCTTTTAAAACACAAATTCCCATTAAAACCATTGAAACATTTCTTTCTCCAAACTGCCTAAATTCAGAATTTGATATGCAGCTCATATTTCAATTCCTTATCTGTCATTTGATTTGCTGAATTCTCAGTCTGCTGTGCTAGATTTAATAGCCTCTTATCTGTCCTAGGGGAGAAAATGACTTGCCAAGTAAAAAGTATGCTCAAATATTTGAATTCCCACCCTGAAAATAAACTGCTTTGATGTTAATTTAAAAAAGGGAGCTTCTTTCCACTTTGGATTAAATAAATTATTAAATGTAAAGCACTTTGACCATGATGCTATATAAATGTAAACTATTTTGTCATAAATAGTTTCAAGTTAGGAAAGAAGAGGAAACTAAACATTTATGTGTGTTCATGTGTATATGTGTATAAAACACACACACACACACACACACACACACACACACACAACACATATAGATATTTTTCCCTCTTCTGCATTCTTTTTTGGTCCTTGTCCAGATGCAGATATATGTTGTAATTACCTTTAAAAACAGCACTATCTCTGATGAAATTGTTACAAACCTGGCCAAGTATTTTCCCCAGAACATCTGATTTTTAAGCTGAACAGATGTCCAAGAATGATCTAACTGAGAAGACTTAAAGAATAGTGCAAGAAGGGAGCCATACCATTTAACAGAAATGATCAGAAGCTACATAGGAGAAACTGTGGCAGGTCCCTGTGCTCACTCATCCCCCTGCCCTTTGTGAAAACAGAAGTTTACATGTGGTATATTCTGACATCTCCCAAAGCTACTTAATAAGAGATATGTATCCTTACCTCCCATTTTATTTCCCCATTTTTCTGATGATATGGAATTTGAATAATGAAGCTCTTCTATCCATGACCTCAAATACTCTCATATACTCAAAAGAATCCACCCTGTTCGTAGCAGCCAAAGCAACTAAGACTGAAAAGGGAATTTTTTTGCTGACGAGTATAAATATTCAAACAAATCCATTCAAATGAGTGCCTAGATGCTGAATTCCTAGCAATAAGGAAATGGCAAAGAAGAACCCTAAAACACAGGCATTTGATGAGCTTCTTATTTTGGAAATATTGATTCGATACTATAAATATCAATAAAGAAGCAAACAAAAAGTTAATATATGTGTCTGAACAACTGAACATCTCTATGCAAAAAAAGTGTATCTAAACACGGACCTTACATTGTTCACAAAAATTGGGTCAAAATAGATCATAGATCTAAGTGTAAAATATAAAACTGTATAAAACTTCTATAAGATAACAAGGAAAAAAAATCTAGGTTACCTTGGGTTTGGGAAGAAGTTTTTTCCAAATTTTTTGGTGGTAAAATACACATAACACAAAATTTGCCATCTTAAACATTTTTAAGTGTACACTTTAAAATGTTGTACTATTGCATTAAATACAATAATAACATTGAGCAACCATCACCAACATTTATCTCCACAATTCTTTTCATTTTATAAAACTGAAACTCTATACCCATAGAACAATAATTTCCCATTCTCCTCATCCCCACACATATTCTAGTAACTATCATTCTACTTTCTATCTCTATAATTTTGGGCAATTAATTTTATATGAAGTACCATCTATGAAAGAAAAAAATTGGTGTGGGACTTATCAATTAAGTTTAAATCAATTAAAATTTAAAACTTCTGCTCTGTGAAGAATACCATTAAGAAAACTAAGTGACAAACCACACACTGGGAGAAAATATTTGCAAAACACGTATCTGTCTGAGAAAGAACTTGTATGAAAAATATATAAGGAATTTTTTAAACTGAACAATAAGTAAAGAAACAACCTAATTAAAAAGTGGGAAATGATCTAAACAAATACCTCTCCAAAGGAGATATACAGATGGCAAATAAGCCTATGAAAATATACCCAACATCACATGTCATTAGTGAATTGCAAAATGAGATACCACTATACACTTATTAGATGATCAAAATCCAAAACATAGACAACAAAGGCTGGCAAGCATATAGTGCAACAGGAACTCTCATTCATTGTGGTGGGAATGTAAATGGTACAACCACTTTGAGAGACAGTTTGGGAGTTACTTATAAAACTAAATATACTCTTACTGTCAGCAATCAAGCTCCTAGGTGCTGACTCAAATGAGTTGAAAAGTTATGTACACACACACACACACACACACACACACACACACACAAACTTACAAACTTACATACAAATGTTTCTAACAGCTTTATTCATAACTGCCAGCACTTGGAAGTAACCAAGATATCCTTCAATAGAAGAACTGCAAATAATAAATAAACAAGAATAAACAATCTATGGTACATCCATACAATTGGATAATACTCAGAGCTAAAAAGGAATAACCTATGAAGCCATGAAAAAAAGGTAGAGAATCCTAAATGCATATCATTAAGTGATAAAAATAAGCCCAAAAAGACTGCGTATTGTTTGATCCCAACTATATGACATTTTAGAAAGGGCAAAACTATAGAGACAGTAAAAAATATCAGTAGTTGCCAGGAACCAGGGGAGGATGGAGGGATGAATAGATGAAAGACAGAAGATTTTCAAGGAAATGTGAGTATTCTGTGTTATACTCTGATGGTGGATACATGACATCATGTGTTTGTCAAAACCCAAAGAACACAAAGAGTGAGCACTAATGGAAACTACGGACTTCAGTTAATAATAATATTTCCATATTTGTTCTTCAATTGTAAAAAGTGTTAATAATAGTGGAAACTGTGGGGGGGGAGTGATTATATAGGAACTCTGTATTTGGGCTCAACTTTTCTGTAAATCTAAAACTGCTCGAAAATATACAGTTTATTAATTTTCAAAAAGATATTTACATATTTAGCATGCTAAAAAGTAAACATGATGCAGTAGGCTTTCATATCTACAGATTTTATATAAGTGGATTCAAACAAGCACACATAGAAAATAATAATACCAATAAATAATGAAGTATAACAACTATTCAGCTAGCATTTATATTGTAGTAGGTATTATAAGTAATCTAGAGATATATAAATGGGATGAGGTGCATAGGTTATAATAAATATTATGCCATTTTATAAAAGTGACTTGAGCATCCTTAGATTTTGGTATCCTTGGGGATCTTGGAACCAATCCCTCACAGATACTGCAGATACCAAGGAGTGACTGTATTGATATTCTATCAAAGCTCTTAGCATAATTTTCAGAGACAGCTTGACCCAAAATTTTGACTATTACTATACAGATAAATAAGATTTTTTCCCAATGATTACTTTTTTATGTAACCATGGCCACAAATGCAGAATGAACAGATTCTGCATGACTTCAGAAAGATTCTTAAGTTATTAAGATAGTTTGAAGTTTCCTACACCTGGTGAAATGAGATTATGGGGAAATGTTTGTTGCTACAACATGGAGTTGAAGCAAGAAGTTAACCTGTGAGTATCAAGCAAGATGCTACAAATTTTACCCATATGTCACAGAGCACACAGACACACACACTCACAGGCATGCATTAACACATACATGTGTTCTTGCCAACCACACGCAAACGCACATGTGTGCTTGTGTATAGACATACGAATGGAATTGTGAAAGCCTGACAGGTTTACTGAGCCCTTATTTGAGAAAATCAAATCTGTGCCCAAACATTAGAAAGAAGGAATTGAAGGCTGTGGAGGGGAAGTGAAGCAAGATTAGTTGTTAGTTACAGAATCCCCAGTATTTAACTGAATTACATTTGGCCAAATTAAATCAACCTATTGCCCTATGCATTTTACCTTTATTTAAGGTGATTATCTTTATTTATGATATGTTAACTTAAACTGGGTGTTTTTCAATCCAGTAGAAAAAAAAAATCTTGCAGTATACAGTTTCCTTAATTTACAGATTAGTAATCATTCTTCCATTGGCATTGGCTGTTTTTTTTAAGGATGATTTTAATTAGAAATTCTAATTAACTGCACACTACAATTACCCTTTTTGCCTCTTCATGAAATTACACCTCATAAAGTAGACTGAATGGAAACCAAGTTACAATCAAAGTAAAGCTGCAGATTGAGAAATAAGCATTGCAAATCTCAAAGCATCCACCAGAACTCAGGTACTCTTTAAATGTGCATGGTCCTTTTTATATTCTTGAGATCATAGAGGTCACATTTAAAAAATGATTTCATTATTTCAGTCACTGAATTAAGTAGAATAAGTTAATTTGAACAAAGATAGAGTTACTATTTTATTGACCTTCGAAAATCTTCTTAGATTTCCCAAGTATCTGTTCTTCATATATAAAAAGAGAATGCTAATCATACCTATCTCACAGGGATTTTCTAAGTTAAGCAAAGTAATGGACATAAACAATTTAGCACACTGTTGTCCCATTAGGCACCAGTGTATGCCAGCTATTCTTATTAAATAAGCGTAGCTATTTAGGAGTCAGGCTTTAAAATGCAATAGACTTGGTTTGTGTTCTGATTCTGCCTCACCTTGAGCTGTTTAAATTCTCAGAACCTCCATTTGCTCATCTGTAGAATATGAATAATACTACCTTTACCTTATAATAAACGAGATTGGCAAACTATAGATCAAGGGGCAATTCTGGCACATTACCTGTTTTTTAAAATAAAGTTTTATTGTAACACAGCAATACTTATTTGTTTACTTATTGCCAAGTAGTCCGCACAGAAACCATATAGCTTTCAGAGTCTTATCTTACCTGTTTACTATCGGGGTTTTAACAGAAAATATTTTCTGACATCTAGGCTAAAATATCAATGATCAGAGAAACTTGAGTTTCATTGATATTTTAGCCTAGATGTCAGAAAATATTTTCTTACAAAATTAAGAACTTAACAATAAATGGCATTTAACATTTTTTATTCTAAATCAAAAATTGTCACTGCATATTTTGTACTTTTCTCCATTTGTTTTTATACTATTAAAAAATCTGCTTGCGTTAATGAATTAAATATTGAAAGGAGGGTGACTGCAGCCCTGATCACCATTGCTGTAATGAACATGTGTTTGTGTGTTCCTTCTTTATTGGCCTTTGTCTGTGTTTTGCTGGTAACATTGGTTCTACCTCTTCATGAGAAGATACTTAGAGCATATTATGGTTACCATGGAAATAAAGACTTTCACTAGAGTTTGTCGTGATCAGTTTCCTGAGACTTTTTAAAAAGCTTGCAAAGAAATTTTGTAATAAAACTACCTAATTTAACAAAGCCATGAGAGAAAATAAATTGTTGAGAGGAAGAAAACCTATAAATATGACAAAAGTTTAGGTCAAAACTGTTATGAGGGACTGTATATTTATCTTTCACTGTTTAGAACAATGGTCCTTCTAATCCATTAACATAGATGAACAGCATCATCCCGAAAATTCATGAAACATCCATAAAAGAGGCCCTTGAGAGGAAACACTTTGCATTTTTCAGTGTTTACCGAGTTCAAGGTCATAGAAAGATTTTTTTAAGCTAGTGCAACAAAACAATGGGATTATTTTCTCTTAAATGTAGGGATCCTTCTGATATGATCAAGCTTCTCTTCTCAGAAAAATAATACCTAAATATCAATGATATATTCAACTTTACTTTTAATTGTATAGAATTTGTCTAAATTCTCCTGCTAGATATATATGACTGTGTAATTTTAGGTTAATTTGTAACTTACAATGATTTTTGTAAAATTTGTTCTTATTCCTATAACTATAAAAGTTTTGAGTAGAAATTACACTTCATTCAATTTAATTCAATTGAAACACATATTGACGACTTCTGTTAGGCCCTGTGCTAGGCCCCAGGATAGGAAGATCACAGCATGGTACCTGCCCTCCTGTAATAAAATGCAGAGTTATTATAAAAGTCATGCTCACAATTTTGAAACAAGGTAAGATAGTAAACTTTATCTAAAGGAATAAGACACATGATCTTGGTATGTTGGGAATTATATATTGCATTTCAAACTAGAGGTTGATTCAGAGAAGAAATTTCTAAGAATGCAGCATTTAGTCACAATCTCTTGAATAACTGCAACCAAAAAAAGTAGAAATTAGAGGAACAAAATAATAAAACGTTGGAAAACTATTAACCAAAGCATAGAACTGGCAAATAAAAGTCACTCATTGCTTTGAGATGAAGAGTCCAGAATCAATTGAAGATATAGGTGTCACTAGAAGGAAGCTGATGATGAGCAAATTCCTGAGCAGCAGCTTCAGCCTTCTGCAAAAATAAGCCATCAGCATGTGCCTAGAGACATTTGTTTATTTACTAACAAACCTATTATGTCTCAAACACTGGGCTAGGGACTGGTGCTGCAAGAGTTTACAAGATAAAATCCTCAGGAAATTTGTCCCCTTTCCTGGGGGTTAGAATTTTCAGCAATTACAGTAAAGAAGTGAGGACTTCAGATGGTAGATTGAACACAAAAGGCAGTTGTCTAGCACATCAAGTTCTTCAAAACAATATCAAAGAAGTAACTATGCTGAATCCAATAAATTAAGTTATAAGCATTTCCTTTTTCTATATTTCCCCAACTATGAACCCTCACATATTTCAATGTGACAGCCTGCTTTTGTGTTCCTTTCCTCAGGGACTTTCACTGGGCAGAAACTAAACACAACCTAATTAAATGGTTCTGCTTGCCTTTTGGAAAAGCTCAGGCCCATTGGAAAGATTATATTAGATGTCTAGGAGGGGAGGGGAGCAGGAATTATTTTTTTTTGAGACCTTAAGGAAGGAAAGCACAGTGGAATATAAGGGAAAAGAAGTACATGGGGGAAAAGTATGTACAGAAATGCCCAGTAAGCAAAAAGATAAGGTGTCCCAGGATTGCATCCTTGGAAGTAAGATATTTAAAATGTAGGAATATAAAAACATCCAGCAAAAGAGAAGGCAGGAAAGAAGAGACTGCCAAAATTAAAAAAACAAAACAAAACAGAGGAGAAAAAGATGTCTGAAAATTGATTCATAGTTTCTCCTCTCCCACTATACTTTCCCCAGACTAACAATATTAATACAAAAATAATTTCCCTGAAGGGATACAATATAGGTTGTTCACTTAACTTCTAATCTCATGTGTCACTTTGTAGTCACTTCCAAAGTAGTGGAAGATGACTCTCAGAACATTTTTTTGATCCTCCTTACTTAGTAGAAGAATACGGAGACCCAGAAATCCATTCATTTATTCCCCAAACACTTATGAAGCTTCACTCATGCATGAGAAATTGTTTTAAGCTCTTGACATACGTTGAACTTAAACCTAATGGGAAAGGAGAAATACTTTGTCCGAAATTATGTTGCTAAAAAATGGAAGAACATAAAACAAGACCCAATTCTTCTGATATCAAATGATCTGCTGTTTCAATTAATCTATATTGTCCCTTTGATTTTTGGCCCCATAGGAAATGCTAATATGAAGTGGTCTTTGTTTGTTTGTTTGTTTTGTGTTCGTTTTTATAGTGGAGCCCCATCAACAACTGTGCCAAAGGAACGATGTCATCAGAACAATTGTTCTGCATCACAAATCTGATCACGTCACTCCTGCTTAAAATTATTCACTGGTTCTTCACTGCCTTCAGAATAACATCCACATGGACTTCATTTCACAAATTGGCACCTCACCATGTGCACTCTTCACACATTGTTTGCCATTCTGCCTTGTGCACCCTATTGTCCCAAAAAGTAATTTAATAACCTGCTATTCTTCCAACCCTCCAAGCTTGTCACCACAGCTCTAAATCTTTTATTCTTTCTTTTTTTCTTCTTTTTTTCTTATGCTGTCCCCCAGGATTATCAACTTTCTTTCAGAGGCCATTTTTATGATTAAATTCAGTATTCTTTAATTTCTGATACTAAACTTTTTCTCCTTACAGATTTGTTTTTGTTTTCTATTTTTAACAGATGAAAAATGTATATATTTCTTGTGTACAACATATTGTAAAATACGTATGCATTGTGGAATGCTAAGTGGAGCTAATTAACATATGTATTACCTCTCATACTTAGCTTTTATTTCTTTTGATAACACTATCCACTCTGCAATTTTTGAGAATACAATACATAATTATTAGCTATAGGCACCCTGTTGCACAATAGATCTTTTGAACTCATTCTTTCTCTCTAACTGAAATTTTGTGTCCATTGACCAACATCTCCACAATCCCCTCACCTCTCAGCCCCTGGTAACCACCATTCTACTCTTTGCTTCTAAGAATTTGACTTTTTAAATTTCACATGTAAATGACATTGTGCGATATTCATCCTTCTGTGCCTGGCTTATTTCATTTACATAATGTTTAAGTAAAACATGCTTCAATTAACATAAACTTTAGGTTTATCTATGGTATCAAAATGACACAAATCCCTTCTTTTGTAAGGCTGAATAGTATTGCATTATGTATGTATACCACATTTTCTTTTTTAATTGATACATAATTATAAACATTTATGAGGTACTTGTGATATTTTGATACATGTATACAATGCATTATGATCCAATCTGTGTATTTGGGATATCCGTCACCTCAAACATTTATAATTTCTTTGTGTTGGGAACAAATTTCAAATCTTTTCTTCTAGCTATTTTGAAAAATACACTATATTGTTAACTGCAGTCACTTTACTGTGCTACCAAACACTAGAACTTATTCTTTCCATCTAACTGTATGTTTGTACCCATTAAACAAGTCTCTTTATTCCTTCTGCCCTATGCTTCCCAGCCTTTGGTAACCATCATTCTACTCTACCTCCATGAGATTCACTTGTTTAGCTCCCACATATAAGAGAGAGCATGTGGTATTTGTCTTTGTATGCCTGGCTTATTTCACTTGACATTATATGACCTCCAGTTTCACCCACGTTGCTGCAAATGATATGGTTCATTTTTTTTAAACGGCTGAATAGTATTTTATTGTGTAATAAGACCACATTTTCCTTATCCATTCATCCATTGATGGACACTTAGGTTGAGTTCATATCTTGGCTGTTGTGAATAGTGCTGCCATAAACATGGGAGTGCAGGTATCTTTTTGGTATTTTGATTTCATTTCATTTGGATATATGCTTAGCAGTGGATTGGTTGGATCATATTGTAGTTCCATTTTTTAACATTTGAGGAACCTCCATAGTGTTTTCCATAATGGCTATACTAATTGAAATTCCTGCACTTCTTCTTTCGCCAAATTTAGAAATGTCTACAAACCTATCATATTTCATAAATGTTGTCTTCTGAAGGAAGCCTTTTTTGAGGTCTCTTCCAGTTTCTCCAGTCCCTTCTCCCAGGAAGCCTTGGGTAATCAAACCCTCAAAAGTGCTTCCATTTTGTCTGGCATAAACTTCCCATGCAGCAACAGCCATGCAGACCAGCAGATTTGTGTTGCACATCTTCATTTTAGCCTTTGAACTCCATAAGGTAAGGGTGCTTTATCTGTGGATACTTCTAATCTCTACATCTCCTATGCACTACACAGCACACAGCAAATGGTAACTGATGAAACTCATGTGTTGCATAAGCACTTCAATTTGGAAATGGATGTATGCAATAATATAAAGGAATCACATACTATGCGGAGAGGTTTAAATGGAGAAGGGGTTCCAAATGAAATCTTCTGAAAATATTTAAAATGGTATTTTATAAGTAAATTGTTTTGAAACATTTACAGCACAGGTGCCAAAAGATATCTCTTCTGCAAATTTGATATAAGAAAAAGGCTTTGAGAAAGTTATTTATCTTGATAAACAAACTTATCTGAAGTAAACTTTGAAAAATTAAAACCAACAGAATCTCAAAATTGAGTCAGGACTCCATTTAGACTGAAAGAATACCAGATTTTCCAAGAGAATGGTTTAAAGAGCAACTTGTCATCTTTGCTCCAGAGGTCAACCTTGGGTCTCTAACAAAGGCAATGCAGTACATTTAGGTAGCACACACAATTTGACTTTTCACTCAAGACTCAGCAATGTGCAATAAGATCAAAAGGAAAAGACAATCTCTTGTCACATATTCTCACATATCCTTCCATTGCCATTATCTGTGTCTGTCTTCTGCCTTCCCTGCTAGTCTATGCCATATTCTTTAATGCATTCGTGAATGGCAGCTGCTTGTCTGATGAGATCCTCATTTCCTGCCTCCAGCCCTGCTTGAGCAAGCTGCACCTTGGCATCAAATTGAATGCCAGATAAGCAGAATTCTTACATGTGCAATTAAAAGCCACTGAAGTGGAGATAACAGCATCCCATGGTTAACTGAATAATTCATGGCAAAATGTTCTCTCTTTATTCATAGCTCCTCACACCCTTGACTTGTTAAGCAGCTAGCACTCTTACTAAAGTACTGGTTTCAGCTGAGACATTTCTTAAGCAACTCCTCTGATCAGGTATTCACATTTTTTACATTACTTTTACCAGAATTTCTGGGAAAGTAGAAAAGAAAGAGGAATAAGGGCCAAAAATAAAAAATAAAAGAAGAAACCTAAACAAATGTAGGCACACACACACACAAAAAAAACCACCTGATTGAATTTTTCTTTTAAATGAGTGCTTTAAATTCAAAGCATATAAAATATGTTTGAGGGTTTAAGTTGTTTATTTCTGACTGTTTTTCAGAACTATTACTGCAAAGGGCCTGCAAAAATCACAATGAAATGCAAGTAAGGGTGTTTGTTCCATTTGGAGGTCTATGATTGAGTCGACTTTACTAAGTACCTCCAAAATCAACTGTTAATGTAGAATAATGATTTTTTTTTTGTACAAAATAGTTGACTTCAATTTTTGTTGCACAATCCTAAATACCAAGAACTTACCAAGAACTTCCTGATAGCAGAATTAGCAGCTTAATAAGGATAGATTCAGTAAGTAAGAACACACGAGGAGCTGAAAAAAATGCTGAGGGCTACAGTTCAAAGAAAAGAGGATACATTATACAATATTAAATATGTTCAAGTATAGAATTCACTTCCACAAAAGGAGGAAGAATTTTTAAAATCCTTAGCTTTAGAAATTTTTTGTGAAGCATAGAAATTAAAATGGTTTAATGTCAGTTATTTTTGTAAAAAACATGACAGTAATACACATACTGTGTAATAAATACTTAAAACAGTACAAGGATAGTTATGAAATGAAAAAAATGAGAAGTAAGAGTTATTACCTCCCTTACTTCCTAACTGCACTCCTCCCCAAAGGTATTCATTGTCTATACATTTTTTTAATGTATCTTTCAAGAAAAATTGTTTCATGTATATTTTTGCATACATTTGTATATACATTTTTATTTATACAAAGTAATCACTAGTTATTCACCATGGGCTTTTTGTATATTTGTTTCTTAATGGTTACCACTTGAACACACAGATGCCACTTCAATTGTTTAAACTGTTTGATCTGCTTCATACTTTTCTTTGGATGAATCAATATGACTTATCTAATCACATTCCTATTAATGCATAGGTAGCTTGTTTCCAACATTTTTTGTTTGATAGTTCAAAGGGTTGTACAACAGAAATTCCTGCAGAAGTATCTCGCTATTCTTTTGAAAATAATCTGTTGAGTAAATTCACAACAGTAGTATGGCTGATAAGGAAAGATATGTACTTTTATATTTTGACAGACATTGTTGATGTATTCACCAAATTTTTGTACTACTTTTCACTCCAAATAGTGATGTATAATAATAAATACTGCTCCATAACCTAGATGAAACATTTGTTATCAACTTGAACAGATTACAAAACTCATATCGCTTTGTTTTGTATGTCTTTAAATGCGAGGGAAAACATTTTTTCTCTAAAATTATTTATTATTTCTACTGCCTTTTTTGTTCAATCCCTTGTCTAGTTTCTATTGGCCTATTTGTATATTTCTTATTGATTAATATAAGTTATTTATAAGTTAAGGGGATGATTTTTTCATGTCAAATGTTTAACAATTAAATAAGGGAGTTTAGAGCAGGCTTTCATTAACAGGATACAAAACCTAGAAGACATAGAGAAAATATTAATAGATTTTCTAAAATATATATACCTATGTATGGAAACATTTATAATAAATTGAGTCGAGGAGAAATAATCAAGCTACAACAAAAATACAACACATAAACTAGAGATAAATAGATATCTAAAAGCACAGAAAAGGGGAATTTATAGTTGAAAATGTGTTGAGTACTCTGAAATTTTCCAGGTTTGAGATATATATGAGGAATGTGTGGTCACTGAGACCTGTCACATTGAAGGAAACATAACAATGAAAGACAGTTATAATCTTTGAACAGAAAATACTGAAAGGTTTGAGAAATTTTACATATGAGTCCTCCAGAAAATCAGAGATCAGAAGCGGAAGCTTCTTCTGTCAAGCCCTATATATCAAACCACGTTCCGGGAGAAGATTTGCTGCTTCCTTAGTGCAAAATTTCCCCTCAATCTTAACTGTTTTTAAGCATATTTACCAATAGATCTTGATTTCCTTGAAGGTCAAATCATGCCCATTAATATTTATGGTTTTTGTGCCTTTATTGCACCTCTTAAAAAGTCAATCTCAATACACAGTTAAAAAACAGGTCTACCTACTAAACTCTTTATTCATTTAACAAATATTTATTAAGTACTTGAGGTCTGCAAAGCACAGTGCTTGTTATGTGAGATATAAAAAAGATCACCTCTCCCTACCATCAGGAAACTCAAAGTCTCCAATGAGAAAAATATATATTTAATTGACTAATCAATCAAATAGTAAAAATAACAACTATGGAAAGTATTCGCAAGACAAAATTGTAGAGAGAACATTATGTTTGACAGGAGATGAGGCTACAGAAGTAGATGCCAACACATTGCATGTGGTCTTTAAGGCCAGGTTAAGGAATTTAACCTTTATTCCCAAACAGTGGTAACTATTTTAAGTAATAGCATAGGATTTACATTTTGAAAAGATTCAGTATAGGGAATAGATTGATGAAGGAAAGAAATACCAGTTAAGAAAGTATTTCCTTGGAAGGTATAAGAAAGGGTGGGGATTTGGCTTAGATTCTCATTAATGGAATAAGAACACATGGTAAGGTTTGCAGCATGTCAGTACTTTTGGCATTGTGGATGAAGAAAGAGAAAACCTAGATTTTAACACTTAAAACTAAGAAAGTGGTTGTGCCATTTGCAGAAAAAAATAAACACTGGAAAATTGCAAGACTTATGAAGGCAAGTGTGAATCAAGAGTGTGGTTTTGGCAATGATATGCTTGAGACATGTTAGTATATCCAAGTAGAGAAACCAACCAAGAACCTGGATTTATCACTCATATGAGAGATCTTTGACAGGATATAAATATTTGTGAGTTATTTGTACATAGATGGGAATTTATGTTATGGTATGAATGAACTTATCTAGCAAAGAGTGTAGAGTAGAAGGGATAAAGAGAAAGGTTAGCTGTACTGGTCAGCTAAAGGAGACATAGGCAGAAAACCAGAAAGATAAAATGTTATGAAACCCAAAACGTTTTCTAAGAAGCATTCCGTGGAGAAAACAGAATGGGAAACAGAATTAAATGCTACTGAAGAATCAATCCACTGTAGACTTAAAACCAGAGTTTAGCTTTGGTACATCAGAATGAGGACAATTTATGTAAAATACTTTCACATACTATGATCTCATATCTGACCTGGTTCTCCCAACAATATTGTAAGACAGAAGGGGAAAATCAGTTAAAGTTCCTTCTCATCCATTTCAGAGTTGAGAAAACTGAAATTCCAATAGGTTAAGCAGCTTGTTCTAGGTAATACTGCTAGTTAGTAACTGGGGTGCAAATAAAATCCAGAAGTTTTAAAATATCTAATCCAATGCTCATTTTACATTAGGCTGATGCCACCACTAAATGTAACATTATGATGAATTTTATTATTAGTATTATTATTGAACTGCTATGAGTAAGGTACTCACAAGTGGGGCTACATGATGAATCAGGCATGGACTCTTCATAAGTTTTCAGGCTATAATGCTACATCATCATATATAAAAATGACTATAATATAATGTTGGGTCTAACAGCAAAATAAGAGTTAACGGAATATATTACTACAGAAGTTGATATCAGGAATGGAAATTTAGGGCATTTGAACTTGAGAACCTGACATGTTAGAAGGCTTACTGGCATGGAGAGATTCAGT
Organism: Homo sapiens; assembly: GCF_000001405.40. NCBI lineage: Eukaryota > Metazoa > Chordata > Mammalia > Primates > Hominidae > Homo > Homo sapiens. The sequence goes on along the minus strand of NC_000010.11, from coordinate 82,568,950 downwards.
TAAAGCACTAATGGTAAAGGGACATCAGAGGCAGTGATGTAGAGAAAAACAATGCATTGATGAGAAAACCAAATAATTCTGCTTGGACAGACCAAAGGTAAAATGAAGTGAAGCAGTATAACATATAAACAGGAATGTAGTTAGGATTTACATCACAATGAGTGTCAACGACAACAAGGAGTTTCCGTGTTATAAGGAGGTAAAGCAGATCCAATAAACGTAATTTGAACTGAGAAATGAAAAAATCAGAATACACTTTAATAATAACTGGAGCACTTAACAATGAGCTAGACATCATATATTTAGACATTACCCTGGCTCTTCGATATGCCTAACTCACCTCTTCTGAGTACTTCTCTACTCTTTTAATGATGGGATGACCATGAAACTTGCTTTGGTCAATGGAATATGTGCAGAAGTAAAGGGGGCCACCTTCAGGGAGAAGTGCTTTAGAGCTATGGACAAATCTCCAGGCTCTGTTCCCAAGCTAAATCCATCATTCTAGAATAAACTAATTTTTGTTAATACCTGAAGATCTGGATTTATTTGTTACTTCAGCATTTCCTAACCTAGCCTTGACTGTACACTGTGTTCAGTGTTTTCACAGAGTTAACTAAACTAAAGCTGATGTTCAGCTGATAGGTAGCTCACACTAATATTAAATTACTAAACTGCTCCTGTAATGCTGATAAATGACCACTGCCAAAACCTAGGCAAGTGTGTCCTCCTTCATGACTTTGCCTCTTTATTCCTTATCAAGAATACTCCTAGAAGCTTCCATGATCCAGCAATGAAGGGTATGGCATTTGTCCAACTATGGCCTGCATCCGTTCTAGTTCATTTGTGCCATGATGTTTTAATGTATAATATTTTCATTATCTTCCTCTTTTAGGCCCATAAGATACTCTTATCTCTCATTTAAGAAATGACAAAACTAAGGAGAAAGGCTAAGAAAAGTCCAAGGTTACAGGGTGTCTCACTCCAGGATGTCCAGGCTTAACTACAATGGTCCTTACTGTCTTCAGCTTTAGGTGTATGATTTTGGCAGCTGCAGCTGCAAAAGAAGAGGTGCTACAAAAAAGTGGAATATATATGAGTTCATTAATTAGTTTGAAGATGAAATATGAGGGCCTTCATTAAAGAAAAAAATCATTTGTAATGGTGTAAAGAAACTACCTCTGAAGAGACATTTGGAAGCAGTACCAGCAGGATTTAGGACAATTCAATGAAGGAGTAAGGAATTAAGCTCCTAGAGATGGCAAGAAGGAGTACAGGATCATTTATAGAGACAGAAATATCTTGCATATGAGATTGATTTATATGTATTTGTCTCACATATTATCTCCTTAGCTGAGCTATTAGAGACAGCTTTGAACAAGCAAAGCAAATGTCAAGTGTAACTACCTATACACACAGAGGAGATTTACAAGAGAAGCCTCTTAGTGCTCTTATGTATCTAGGGATGGATGTTTACCAGATATAATACATTCTTTATACCCAGGCAGACACTAAATTTTAACTGTGGGTAGTGTGTATTTCTCCAGTTTAAACACTCTTTTCCAGGCATTGTTTAGTTAAAGATTCATTTGATAAATTTTGCAAACCCTGATTAT